>NC_000011.10:104142121-104445151 GCF_000001405.40 Homo sapiens
ACATCCTTATAATACACATAACAAACAATACACCTGAACATATGTGTGTACATGTTTGCATGCCTGTACATACATATGTTAAATATTATCATGAATCTGGGTATATGTATTCATGTGTGAATATATGCTATATAAATATGTGTGTGTGTATTTATACATATACACACACAAACATGTATTTATAAAAGTAAATATATGTTTATATGAATATGTGTGCGTGGTGTACATATATACACACATATTTATATAACATATACTCACACACAAATACAAATGCCTGGATACATAATATTTAACATATATATGTACAGGAATGTGTGTGTGTATATATATAGTATATGTACACATATCTATTAGAGATGATCTAATAGATTTTTTAAAATTTCCACCTTATCTACCTAGCATACTGCCTTACTAACAACAGATGCTCAATAATATTTAACAAGTAAACCAATGATTTTATTACAAGTCTTCTCTGAGTTCTCTTATCTCTAAGTTTCCAAATTCTTGATTTGGCTAAATGAGAATTGGAGATGTGATTGACTGTGCTATAGAAAAACCGAAGGCCCTAATAATTTCTTTGTGATTAGAACAAGGGAGAGGGTTTCCAGGAAGTGATGTTGCTGTGCTAAAATCTTCTCGAAAATGCAGACTGTTCATTCTGATATGGCCAAAGCCCTCTGTGGGATTAAATGTTACGATGCCTCCAGGGGCAATGATGTAGGCTGTGGTAGTGCATGTCCGCGAAGGTTTCAAAGCCGCCTGCATTCAGGGTGTCTGAGTGAGGCGAGTAAATCATTCCTGTAACTACAGGGAATGCTCCAGGGAACAGAGCTGCTCTCTGAAAGCACCATGCCTCTGAGATGTACTCTATGGTACTGCTCCCACAGCTCACTGAAAAATGGAGGCCTGGTTATTTTTAGGGAGCTATGCAGGTTTTCCTTACAGTGTGTATTTTCAGAACATAACAATAGGATATTGTCGTTAATATTCTGTATGAAAAAATTTTCTTTATTGAGCATGCGATCTTAAAAGGTCTGCTGTGTTTTTAAATGTTTTTTGTTTGTTTAATTTTAATAGGAAGGCATAACTTCCTCTTTAGCATAAGGAAGACCTCTCTATAAGAAACTGTCTGCTGGGCCTGCTTTAGAAAATCATTGATTAGGTAGTAAGATTTATAATAAAACTGCTGTCTAATATCTATGTCCAGCCTACTCATTTCTGAATATGCTAGAGGGGATCAAAAAAATTAGAAAGGGATCTTGAGCAAATGCTTGCAGAGTAAAGCAGAAACTCTTTACTTCTTGGAATTCTTATTGGATTTTGGCCTCCATGACAACATAAAACCTGGCAGCCGAAGGTCTGGTTTAAGCATCCTTGGAGGTACCATTTATATTTTAGGGTAACCCAAGCTCTTTGGGGAAGCCTTAGTCCTTCCCCAGTTCTGGGATAGAAGCACCACCTAGGTGCTCGTATGGCCCTGTTCTCACAACACTTACTCTGGTGCATATAATCTACTAGCCTTGAGAGTCTCTGGACCAAATGGCTACATTAGGGTGGAGAATCATGCGTTTTACTAGTATACATCTAGCTGCCAAAGTGCCTGGCATATAGTGAGTATTCAGTAAAATACAGATGAATCAAGTGAAACTCACTTCCAAAGCACTGCTTAAAAACCAGGAAAGGATTTACATCTCTTTTCCTTAGTTATATTATAAAACCAATTTGTCTACTTTTCAAACGCAGTTAAGATTATTTAAGGCAGCTTAAATTTCTATCCTTTTTCTTAAAACTGGTTTGTTATTTGCATACATATTGCTTTTAGACATTAAAGAAAGCTTCGATTGGCAAGTCAGGAATGGATGTCATCTCATCTTGGCTTCCAACTTTATTTAGATTCATGTTTTTATAGGCAGCAGATTGCTAAAAAGTCAAACCTCCAGTGAACAGGCTGAAAACTTGCTTGATCTACAACTGTGACTTGAAGGTACTCCATCAAGTGGAACACTGGAGGTTAAGACTATAAATAAAATAAAAAGCAACAACAAGAAAAGGAAAAACCTCAGAATCTCAATTCTTATCAACATTTTTTATTCCAAATGCTGAAACAATTACAGCCATTATATTTACCATTTAAAAAGTCCAGAGGCCGAAGTGGGTGGGTCACTTGAGGTTAGGAGTTAGAGACTAGCTTGGTCAACATGGTGAAACCCTGTCTTACTAAAAATACAAAAATTAGCCAGGCACGGTGGCACACGCCTGTAATCCCAGCTACTCGGGAGGCTGAGGCAGGAGAATCGCTTGAACCCAGGCGGCAGAAGTTGCAGTGAGCTGAGATTGCGCCACTGCACTTTAGCCTGGGCAATAAGAGCAAAACTCCGTCACCAAAAAAAAAAAAAAAAAAAAACCCAACAAAACAAAACAAACAAACAAAAAGGCCAAACTGAACACAACTTGGCAGAGAAAAAGCAAGCAGATTTATGATACAACCAATTCAATGTTGATGAAGCCATTTTAACTCTTTATCACCAATCTTACTGAAGCTGGCAATTGTCTTACCTAAAAATAGACAAAAGGTATCTGCAATACTTTGTAAAAAGCAGCAGATGATAGATCAGAAATTTTTATTTAAATCCTGACCCTGCCAGTGATCCACTGTATGACTTCAGGGAAGTTACTGCACCTTTCTCTGCCATGGTTTTGTCAACCATAAAGCAAGAAGATGGCCTAACCTACCTCTAAGAAGCCTTCCAGAGCTAAAATTTAGTGAAATCACTGTATTAACATATTGTAGACACAGGTGTTACTACTACTTGTAGTAAGATACAACTTTTACTATTTAAAGTATACTCTGAAAAAATGTGGAAAAGTGAAAATACCCTGCTTGCCTTACCATTTATTCAGTGCCATTTCCCTGATATTGTGCTAAATAACTATTTAATATTCACATTTACTTTATAATAAGTGGTGTTATTGTTATTGTTATTTAATCTCTGAGTACTGAGAGGGGTTGAGTAATCCCTACAAATACATAGCGAGCAAGTGGTAGGGGCTGGATTTCAGCTGAGGTCTTGTTACCCTTAATCATTATTCCATATGTCTCTCATCAGGCTAGATTTTCTTTTCAAATTAATGAATGTCATTAACCAGTGTTGGTATAAACCGAATGCTATGTTACGTCATGCAATACATGCATCTCTTTAATACATTATTTGTTTACTTACACACATTTGAAAGCCTATTATGTGACATAGTTGAAACAGTACTGGATTGATTATGCCAGTTAATGTAGGGTTTTAGATTTTTATTTAAGTTTAACACATGTAAATATGCATTTCTATAGCCAATTTCTGATGAACTGCAAGTCTTTAAGTATGTCTCATACTGATAAAATTTTGTAATCATTCTTGCATAAGTTACATCCATAATTTATCTATAATTTCCAATTTATCTTTCTTGAAAGTAGAGAAAACCTTAAAGATATATGTGAAGCAATTTATATAGGGAGCTCTTTAGGCCTTTTAGACTTATTTTATTTTCATTCTTTGTGAAATAGTTCAGTTTTCTCACTTATATCAAACTGTAATGAACTGAAGTGTATCTTCCCAAAATGTATCTGTTGAAGTCCTGACCCCCGAGTGTGCTTGTATTTAGAAATAGGGCCTTCAGAGAGATAATTAAGGCTAAATGAGATCACAGGGATAGGGCTCTAATAGTATAGGACACGTGTTCTTTTAAGAAGATGAAGATATACCAGAGATCTCTTTCCTTCCACATACGCAAGGAGGAAAGAACATGTGAAGACACAGTAAGATGGCGACCATCTATCAGCCAGGAAGAGAAGTCTCACCAGAAATCAAATTTGCCAACACCTTGAATTTGGACCTTCCAGCCTCCAGGACTATGAGAAATAAAGTCTGTTATTTAAGACATTCAGTCTGTGGCATTTTGGTATGGCAGCCCAAGCAAACTAATAAACTCCACAACTTTATTTTTGAGCACTCACCATTAAAGTTTCGACAAACACTGAATTAACTATTTACAGACACAACTCTCTTTTTTGTATTCATGTTTGGCTGTGTCACACAACATTTAATTAAATTATGTAATTACATTAACATGTAGGACTGGAAGACATACGTTTGGGAACAAATACAACACACCTTTGGAATATATATATCTCAATGGTGAGAAAAGAAGTGTGTTCCAGGGAAGTAACACAAAAGCAACACAATTGCCATGGACATCAGTCAGGATGTTTCATATTAGACTAGACAATGTGGTTAATCCTGCTCTTAGGGTACTGGAGCTCCCGCTGCACTAAATTTTTCATCTGATAGTTTCACTTGTTTCCACATTTCTTCAGAGCAAACCTCATATGTCAAGATAGGGATCTCAATTCCAGGGAATGATCCAGATTTTTGTAGTCTAACACTTGTATGATGTGGGATGCCCTCTTAAGATAAAGAACATCAAGTTATGCATATAAAATTAGGCAACAGGACCTTGAAAGGGGCCAATCAAGGGGATGGGCCTGAAGCGTAAGCCTCATTAGCATCAAAGTTAGTCCCCATCTGCTACCCAGACGTTTTCCTCCTGCTATGAGTTGGAGCTTCATCTGAATTGTACTTGGCTGGAGTTCATTCAATCATTCTGCAAATATTTACTGAGTACCTCTATATATCAGGTACTATTCCAGGAGCCAGAGGGGAATAAAAGAGACATAAAAAAGGATACAGTAGGGAATAAAACAGACAAAATCTTTATCCTTACAGAGCTTATATTCTTGAAGGAAGACAGAACATAAACAAATGAAAATAAATGATATAATTTCAGGTAGAAATAAGTGAGCTTGGTACACACCAGGCACCGGGGCATACTAAAAAAAAAAAAAAAAATAGTTGTTTTAAAAACCACTTCTTTGTTGAAAAATGAAAAGTGCCCTCTGAATAAAATGTTTTCAATAACACCAGAGTCACACTGTGACTTGACACATATAAGGTTGTTGAAGAGATTCTGATCTTGCGAAGTTGTTTCTTGCTTAGAACAAGCCTTTCCAATCTTGTGTGCTTGTTTTGAAAACTAAGTACACTGTGCTTGGTTTTTCACAGCATAAGATATCAAAATGGACAACTTAGGTCGAGTTCTCCACAAATAGAAGAAATAAATTTTGCAGCAATGAAAGTTTTACAGGGCATCATTATATATGAGCCTGTCATGGGAACACAATCCAATAAGGTATTTCCAAAGTCAGGTAAGGAAACATAGGATACCCTTACAAGCCATTTTACTTGATAGAATATATTTTCTTGATCAAATTATATGCAAATTAATGGTCATGTCAACAATGATCCACCAATAGCTTGGTAGAGATACTCATTTAACAAAAGTAAGAATGATTTATATTGCTGTAATATTTTTTATTAATCACATTTAAATTCTAGGCCACATAGTCAGTGGCAGGACTGAAATTTTTTAATGCAAAAGGAGTTTTCATAATATTTTATTGTCCTAAAAAGTCATGCTCCAAATATATGCTGTCCAATGGCTCCAAATCTAAGGCCACTAACTCCAAGGAGATATGGGTGACATAGTAAAAATCTGTATCAAATACAGATTATACAAAATAATACAAATACAAATTAGACAAAATACAGACCTGATACAAAATCTGTATCAAATACACATTACAAATACAAATAATAGGTTAAATCCTCCAAACATATGGCGGGGTTCTCTTATTCACAAATCTTTTAAAATCAGCCAGAAAGAGTAATTTTAAAAAATGGTGAAGTGATAAATGAGAATATTATCATTGCCTAATGCAAATTAACTCATAAATGAAAAGAAGTATCAATGCTGATTAAACACAGTTTTTCCCATTCATGGCAGAGAAATGAAGTGCCAGCTGCTGTTTTTATTAGAAACTTTTCAAACATCAGAAATTTTGCACCTGGCATAAAAACTGAGTAGCATGGTTTACTGTTAGTTTATTAGATGACTATAAGTTTTTTTAACAGAATACATGAAAATAACTAGCAACATCAACTGTACCAGTGTTGATATAATAATAAAATATAAAACACATAAAACTTGCCCATGCTGAGTTATTCAGCTCCTTAAAAAGTGACTCAGTCGATTTCAACACACTGAAACGATGAGATACAAAAACAGCTCTCATAAATTAATTTTTTATGTTGGAAATAGACCAATGATAATATGTGTTGTTCCAAATAAATGATCTTAACATCCTAGAGCTATACTGTCCAAATTGGCAACAATTAGCCACATGTGGCTATCAAAGCTTTGAAATGTGACTACTCTGAAATAGGATGTATTGTAAGTATAAAATTCATATAAGATTTTGAAGATTTAGTATTATAAAAATTTAAAAGAAATTGCAATAATTAAAAAAATGAAACATTGAAATATTTACATACATAATGAGTTAAATAAAATATATTATTACATTTTTAACTTTTATTTTAAGCTCAGGGGTACAAGTTCAGGTTTGTTACACAGGTAAACTTGTGTCATGGGGGTTTGTTGTACAGATTATTTCATTACCTACGTATTAAGCCTTGTACCCATTATTTATTTTTCCTGATCCTCTCCCTCCTCCCACCCTTCATCCTCTGAAAGGCCCCAGTGTGTGTTGTTCCCCAATACGTGTCCATGTGTTCTCATAACTTAGCTTACACTTATAAGTAAGAACATATTGTATTTGGTTTTCTGTTTCTGTTAGTTTGCTAAGGATAATGGCCTCCAGCTTTACCCACGTCTCTGCAAAGGACATGATCTTGTTTTTTTATGGCTCCATAGCATTCCATGGTGTATATGTACCAAAATAACTTCATGTATTTATTTTTACTTTTTTATGTGGTTACTAAAAATCTTTAAATAACATTGTCTTATATTACATGTCTTTTGGACAATGATGGTTTAAAGTGGCAAGAGTTTGGTTCAATTTCAGCTAAGAACCTTGGGCTCAGAAATTCACCTAGAATTCTCTGAGTCTGTCCTAAACTCCAAATTTCCAGCAATCTTAAAATTTGCAAATACCTCATCTAGGTACAGTAAGTTCTCACTTAATGTCATCTATAGGTTATTGGAAATTGCAACTTTAAGTGAAAGGATGTATAGAGAAACCAACTTTATTATAGGTTAGTTGGTATAAACAAGAATTAAATTCCTGTGGCGTAATTCTGGTCACAAAAACATCACCAAACTTCTAAATAAAGACCAAAACAGTTCTAATATTCAACACTGAAATAAATGTGAGCTATACATACATTCAAGAAGAAAATGAATAAAAACAAGTGAGATAATTATATACCCAAGTTCGGTGAATCAGTGAATGATGGCAGTGTTAGTAGTGGTAGGTTAAGTCAAGGAATAAATGTTTGCAAAGTGAACATTGGAAGGAGCAGCCCCTACCATCACACAGCTCAAACAAGAACAAATATGGCAGGCTCATGGAGTGCTTCCCTCCTGCTCCATTTGTTGTAGTGCACTTGTATGATTATTTTACACTTGATGAATTTGTATTTTACAATAATATGCATTCATTTATTCATCCCAATTTCAACCCGTTTATTCCAGTTCCAGGGTCTCAGGTGGCCATAGTATATTCCAGTAGCTCAGGGCACAAGGCAGGACCCAGCCGGAGTATCCAGAGAAAACCCATAAACTTCACACTGGACAGTGGCCCTGGCCGGAAATTGATTTTTTTTTTCTCATCAATGTTACAATGAAATGATGGTGAAAAAATGACTTTATTCTAGGACCTGCTGTATATATCTTCTGTTCCCATCACTTAATATATACTGTGGTCATTGTACTTACATATATCACATGACATCAACATACCTAATGTAATGCTGAGACTAGTAAGTGCTCTGTGAATGGCAGCTATCATCATGTAATTATCACATCACTTTCAACACTTTGACCTCAGAACCTTGTATAGGAGCAGATATGCAGCGGACTTGCAACAAATTTTTATGGAATTAAAAATGAAAAAACATATGAGCCAACAAATGAATAAATGACACATGAGGTTAATGAAAATTTTAAAGAATAATTTTATAATATAATGAAATAGGACACTGCCCTTATCATCCTCAATTTAATCTTATCTGAAAAGTCCATAAGATTTCAAGCCAAAAATCTCAATCTTTCGGACACGGAATTAGGGCAGAAGTGAGGCCAGTCTAAGAAATTCTCAGAAGCAGAGATTTAAATGCACCATTAAACTGTCAATATAGATTTACTGGCCAATGAACTTTATAATGGTTGGGAAACTGGGCTGAACAAACTATGCAGTTCAACTATTCCTTATTTATATCAAAGACCCTCTATTAGTTTCCTGTAGCGGCTGTAACAAATTGCACCAAATTTACAGGCTTAAAACAACACACATTATTATCTTACAGTTCTGGAGACTGGAAGTCTGAACTCAATTTCAATGGACCCAAATTAAGGTGTTGGCAGGGCCATACTCCCTCTGGAGGCTCCAGGGAAAAGCCCATACCTTTCCTCTTCCAGCTCCTGTTTGCTGCTGGCATTCCTTGGCTTGTGGATGCATTACTCAAATCTCTGCCTCTGTGGTCACATAGCCATCTCTTCTGCCTTTGTCAAATCTCCCTCGGCATCTCTCTTATAAGGACACTTGTGACTGCATTTAGGGCCTACCCAAATAATTCAGGAAAATCTCCCATCTCAAGATCCTTAAGTAAATCATATCTGCAAAGTCTCTTGCATATAAAGTAACATTTAAAGTTTCCAGAATTAGGACATGATACCATTGGGGTCATTATTCAGCCATAGGACAAACCCCAACACACGATTTTCTAATCTGAAGCATTAATTAAAAATGGTCATTTTATATAACATTTTGCAATTTTTATTAAAGTTGGATGAATACATCCCAATTTTTATATGTGCAGCAATGATGTAGCTGTTGCACACCCATCATTGATTACTGTTTACCACACTGATAGAAAGCTCGCTCTCTCTCTCTCTTCTCCTCTTACTCTCCCTTTCTTTTCTTTCTTTTTCTCTTTTCCTTCTTTCTTATCTTTAGGAATGTCCTGCAAGTCAGAGTGGCCAACTAACTGGTCCTGTATCCATATTTTGTTCAAAAAATTATTTTCAATCAATCAATATTTCTAAATTGGATTTTCATGAACTTTACACACGCATGCAAGCTGGATGCGTAAATAGTACAAAGTAGTAAAACAGTTATCTGAATTATTTCAACATATTTTAAGTATATTTAAAATTTATTGATATAATACAGAATAGAATTGTTGTATATTAATGATAGGTTCCCATTGTTCTTAGATTTTTCAAAAAATGTATGTGGAAAATATGAGACTTCGTTAGTTTAATTTACATTCCCAACAAAGAGAGAGGGAAAATAATACATCATGCTCAAAGTTGTCTTTGTTTACTGCCATCCAGTGGTCAAATAATTATTTCGCACATCACACATTAAAAAATTAAGGCATACTGGGTAACTGAGTCTACAAATTTGCTTTTATGTTCAGAAATACGTATCCTAAAATTCGAACACACAAAAGAAAACAATCAAGAAAGTAAGACTTCTGGTCCTAAAATTAAAAGTTGCTTTTCTGCTCAAGTTTTAATAACTTAATTATAAGGGGTTGGCCTTTCATTTTCAAATAATATTGTGCTCAACAGCAACTCGACCAATACAGATTTTTTTCTATTGAACCAAATATTAGGATAGATAATTTGTGGCTATAGTTTGATCATCAAGACGGAATCTCGAAGTTGAGAATCTTAAAAAAAAAAAATCCCAGGTCACATAACGGTGGCACTCACATGGCACTGCCTTGCCCTATGTTTATTCACATATGTGTTTTCTCTCTTCAGCCAAAGTTAAGTTTTAACAGAGCAGAGACTGTGCCTTAGGTTTGACTATTTCTGCTCCATGGTGCCTCATCCAGAGCACTGCATGTAGTCTCTGCTTAACAAGTGGTTATGTTTTTTGTAGTTGGGTTTGGTGAAAAGTAGTAAACTAAAGAATAAAAACTATAAGGCCACAGTGGTTCTTCCTGATGTATTTAAATAATCCCAACATATACTGTACTTAAATTCCAAGTTGCTCTCACTTCATTCTAGCTTGTTTTTTAATTAACAAATGTTTACAAATCCTTTAATTACATATTTAGAAACTTTGTTGATGAAATTTCTATTACAGCAAATGTACTTTTATATCCTGTTCAGTAGCAATTCTTATTTTATCATCAGTAAAATAACATGTAGTGTAAACATATTTCTCTATAAATTTATAAACCAAAGATGCATTAATTTTTTGTTAGTGTTCTATCATCTATCTTCTAGACTGACTCTTAAGACTTGTTTCCTCATCCTTAATTTATTTTTACCTCTTTTTTGAACCCTTTTATTAAGTAGCAGGAATTTTATGTAAATGTACTCAAATACTAATATTGGAAAGGTATGACAAAAAGGATTCATTCTAGTCAGTGTTATCTGGTTAGTGTTTTTTGTTTTTGTTTTTGGTTTGGCTTTTTTTAAAAGACAATTGAAAATTCTCCATATTTCACTGATAATTCTCCAAAATTAACCCAAAATATGCTATGTCCAAGGTGGCAGTCTAAAAGTATATGTAATTTGGGGTTTTCAACAAAGTCTTTTGGAAACATATAACCTATTCTTCACTCACACCACTGTTCATAATAGATATTAAAGCACTTAACCACGTTAAAAGCACTTAGGAAATATCAGACATTATCATGCACCCATAATCATAAATGTTAATTATTTTAAAAACTTTATAATATATAGTCATTTACTTCAAGTTCACTGTGCATGCATTTCAGGCAAATATGTTTCTATCTTACCTTCCTGCCTCTAGGTTTCTCCACATCAATGTTGCACAAGCTCCTAAAGCTTAAAGTGTTCACAAATTAAGTTTCTATCTTTATGACCTTCTCTTATCTGCTCTTCCTGTGTTACTTCCTATCTTGTTCAACAATACAGCAACCACCCACACAATTAAAGCAGAAACCTGACAGCCACTCCAGATTCTGAATTTAAACACTCTCTCTCTCTCATTTGCTTAAAATCTGACAGTGAGAGGGCTCATGTGGCCTAAAGATCTGTCATTAAAAAGGACACTCACTGGATGATTTACAGATTCATCAGACCTCATTGAGCTTCTCCAATGTGCCAGCCAATGAAATGGACAGTGAGGATGTTCAGCTGTATTAAATACAGTTAGTAAATCTATATCTGCAGATGTCAGATATGTAAATAAATGAGTAACATTGCAGGGCTTATGATAGAAATACAGGATAAATAAAGGAGTAGCAAAATTTAACTGAGGAGGGTTGGGAGTCAGGGAAGGCTACACAGAGTGGTGCAATTCCTCTATCTAAAATGTGATATAGGATCTTTACATTGACTCAACAGTTCATTCAAAAACAATTGTGATGTGTCTGGAAGAACAAAAACAAAAAGGATTAATATGATTAAGGAATTCACCATTGGATGAATAACCCAATATGTTACAAACTAATTACTTCACATGATTATTTACTGAGTTGGAGAGTTTAATTACCAGTGTGATTACTCATTGTATACCTCAAATAGCAAAATAAAAAGACAGGTAAGGCTCAGTAACAAGGTAGAAGCTAAAAATATATTTTTGGGGGTCATTTGCACACAAGTACCAATTGACACTAGATAAAGATCGATCCTCCAGAGAGAAGCAGTGAGAAAAGTGAGAAGAGAAATCTGAGGTCTGAACCCTAGAAAATGTGCCAGTATTTATAGGGCAGACAGGAAGACCCAGCCAAGGAGACAGTCGAGGAAACAATAAACAAAGGGTATCCAACAATATAAGGGAAACAAACCTATGTATGTGTTCAATGTCATATTTTATAGTGATAAATACCCCTTTATTTTAAAAATATGTTTTATCCTCAAAAATGTTATGTTAATAGTTGTATAAATTGATAGGGTACAATATGACACTGGTTTTATCTTTGAATGTTCTTTCTTTTCCTATTAACACCATCCCCCATTACATTCTAAAATTTTTCCTTCTTTCTTCATCATTCATCATGGTAACAGAGAAAGAGTAAAACACAAAACATGCTTTTTAAGGCTTTCTCTAATATTGCTTCTTCAAATAACCTAAAACGTGTCCTGCGTTAGTTTTGGCTTTATTTCTATCACCATTTGAAATTTGTCATTTAGGAGTAGTTAAGACAAACGATGGGCAGCGTCAAGGCAAAGGAAGAGAATTCTTCAAGAAGAGAAGGGCTAATCCCTGAAGAAACAATAAATCACAGTGACTTCACCCAGAGCGTTTCCGTGGAGCAGTGGGGATGATTTCAAATCACAATGGGTACAGGGGAGGAGAGGAGGAAGAGACATTGAGTTGTGATGGTAAAGTGAAGAGAAACAGTAAAACAACTTTTGCGTATTGTGGGACAGTGCAAAGAAACTAGAACATACCTGTTGGCTGAGGGAATGGAGCCAACAAGAAGGAAAAGTTTAAAGATAGAAGAGTAGTAAACGCTATGGAATTAGGTTAAAGGAATTATAAAAAGGTGGAATTGTGCAAAAAAGAGGTACCAAGAGCACAACATATTCAGACACAGACTGACCAGAACAGAGTCTAACTTTGCAGTTTCTATGGCTGCTTTTATGCTATAATGGTAGAGTTGAGTAGTTGTAACAGAGACCATATGGCCTGAAAAGTCTACAATATTTACTATTTGGCCCTTTACAAAAAAAGTCTGCCAACCTCTGCATCTGCTCCAAGCTATTAACTATTCTTTGCAGTGAAAATATGCAAGTTTGATAGATGTGTTTTCTATGTTTTCATCCAAGTTATTAAGGATTCTGAACCCAACAGAGTCTAATCCAAAGCGCCAATAAAATCCCTGTTCACCTCCCTCTTGACTAACACAAATCTATCAGTTATCAGTAGAAGAATGATAATAATACTTTATTGTCATCCAGGCTACAACCATTATTTTCTTCAAGGTTTCTGTAGTAAATGCTGTCAATTTCTGGTTGAAATACATACATACTTAAGGCAATACCATTTACAGTTTATGAACCTGGTAAACCTATCAGACATATAATCTGAACTTTCCTTTATGGCTCAAGGTCATTATTTTTAAAATCAATAACTTTACTGGGCTATAATATAGTTATTCCCCGGCAATATACGGAGACAGATTGGAGCTATTTTCACCTTATTTAATAAGAAGCCTCAGCCAGCTGGGCTTGCTTAGGTCTCATGAATGCTTTTCAAGACCTGGAAATATAAGAGGAGGCAGGAAAACTACTAGCTGTCATTTCTCAGTGCTAATAGTGTGAATAACTCAAACCAGTTCTCTTATCTATTCTAATACCCTACTCCTCTTCTGCTGTGGATATGAGAACCACATAAACCAGGGTGATGTAATTATATGGAAAGTAAAGACAAATGGGCTTTTAGTGTCTACCATACGATCCTTATGAACTCATTTACACATTCTGTGACACTGATTTTAGCTTTTAAGTGGATTTGTTGCATATTGGTTAGTTCATTTGGTTGCATTTTCCACAGCTGAGTCTGCTAAACAGCTACATTTTGTAAAAGCAGGTGGTTGCTACATTGCTTATTAAATGTTTCAATGAAATGCAGGACTTATCAGCATCTTCTCAGATTGGGTCTGAAAAGACTTTTTCAGAACCAACACAGCACATTCAACCCCTGCTTCACAGCTCACACCCAGCAACATCTCTGAGCTCTTCAGTCCAAAGAAGGCATGCTACATTTCAAATCTTAAATATTCAGGATCCTAATATATACAACATAGGGACTGCAGTTAATAACAATGTACTATATTCTTGAAAATTGCTAACAGTAGATTTTAAGAGTTATCATCACACAAAAAAGGTAAGTATGTGAGGTAATGCATGTTAATTAGTTTGATTTAGTCAACACTGTATACATATTTCAAAACATGTTGTACATGATATATATATACAATTTTTATTTGTCAATTAAAAATAAATTAATAATAAGATATGACCAGGCATGGTGGCATGTGCCTGCCGTCCCAGCTACTTGTGGAAGGGTGAGGTGGTGGGATTGCGTGAGCACAGGAGGTTGAAGCTGCAGTAAGCCTTGATTATGCCACTGAACTCCAGCTTGGGAGCTACAGCAAGACTCTGTCTCAAAAAATAGATAAAATAAAATAAAATAAAATTTTAAAAATGAATCCTAACATATAAGGCTTCAAATCGTGTTTGGCTTACTTTTATAGACAAAGCACTGCATCCAAAACTGTCTTCATGAACACACTCTACAAAAAAGTGCTCAAGGAAAAAATCTAAAATCTGAGAAAAGATGACTTCTCATAATGAAAGACAGCTCCCATGCCTGGGCTATGATGCTTCCACAGACCTCTCCACCTCCTAATTGTATAAAAACCACTAAACTGCACACCCCACAAATCAAAAAAACACACAGTATTAATCTGTCAATATTAAAGCTAATATAGAGATGTCAGCATACCAGAGGGAAGATGAAGGAAAAGACATATTATCATGTGCATTATCAACAGTTATAAGAAACAAAGCATGCTTTATTCTTGCTCTAGAAAAAAGGCTCATCAGAAGAAACTATTTCTTCCTGTATGTGTACTTGTGCCCTTTGCTGTCCTGTGGGCTTCCGCCTTTAGTTTTGATTTACATTTGGTTCTGAAATACTGTATGAGGAGGCAGAACATTTCTGCTGCACCTCTGGTCTTGGATTCTTTCCTTTTTGCTGTAATACTATATATTACCCCCTGTAGCTTTTTGCTGAAACCATCCCTCACATAGAAGTGTAAAAATGCTCCCTTTTAAATTGCATTAATTCTGAAATGTAGCTATTTGAAAAAACTTAAAGTGTTGTCAAACACTAGACAGGTTACCTGCATAATTCACATTACCTTATTGAGACCTCAGATACAGTTACAAAATAATATCTGCTGTGCTGAGCGCAGAGCGACAACCAGGGCGAGGGGGGTACCTCAGGGATATCATGAGGGCACCAAGGATTTGGGGATTTGGGTTTAAGAAAGTCATTCATGTCCCCCACTATCATATTAAAAATGAAATGATTCCATCTGTATTCATGTGCCACAGGCAGCAGGGATATAGGAAGACTGGCCCTGATCACAGCCTCGGCCTTGCGGACTATTCAGGAACACTCCACCCAGCAGTCAAACACAGAATGGGCCACGTCTCTGTCTAAATTACACCTTTCAATGGCTTACCACAGCTCTCAGCATAATGGCCAAGCTCCCTTAACATTACTCCCCATGCCTTTCACTGGTGGACACTTGTTTACCTATATTCACACCTGGAAATCTTGGCAAGTGCTGTTCTATCCCCCTTCTCCCTCTCACTGCACCCAATGTCTGAAATGACTTGTCCAGAATCAAGGCAGCACGGTCAACCCCTGCTCACAGCTTCCACCCAGTAATCATCCCTGAACTCCTTCAGTCCGGAGAAGGCATGCTGGATTTTAACATTTTAAAAATGAAGAATCCTAATATATACAATATGATTACTATAATAATCACAATGTATTGTCTTCTTGAAAATTGATAAGGAAGCAGACTTTAAGTGTTAAGTGTTATCATCACAAAAATATGATAAATATATGAGGTAATGCATATGGTCATTAGCTTGATTCAGTCATTGGATACTGCATAGATATTTCAAAACAACATGCTCTACAGGATAAATTTATACAATCTTTATTTGTCAGTTAAAACTAAATAATAAAATGACACTCTTTTTAAAGAGTCCTAACACATAAGGCTTCAAATCATGTTTGCCTTACATTTACAGGCAAAGCAGCACACACTTCAGCCTCAGTTCAGACACCACTTCCTCTAGGAAGCCTTTCCCAATTCCTCAAGTCTATATTAGGTGCTCTTTGTGTATTCCTATCTCTCAAGTGCATTTCCTCCATTAAAGCGCATATCACACTCTTTAGAACTTCACACTTAAATTGCAAAATACATTTTCTCAAGTAAAACTCTTATGATGAACACACATATGTGAAGAAGAAGTGTGATAATACATGTGGAGCTATTCTGTTGAAGAAGGGGTGGAGAAGCTGAAGCTACACGTGTTCAGCCTCCTTGGTAGCTGTGCACTGACCTCCAAGGCACTTCTGGAGAATCCTGGTACTCTCCAGAATGCATCTGAAAGATATGTACAATACAATGGAACTGACAATTGTTTGTCTATATTGTCCACTAGGCAATACATTCCAAGAGGTCAGGAACCATGTGTGTTTCATTCATATTGTGCCAGATGCTCAGTTACTTAGCACAATATACAGGAGGCATTAGGGATGTTAGAAATAATCACCGAAGGCCGGGCGCACTGGCTTACGCCTGTAATCCCAGCACTTTGGGAGACCGAGGCCAGCGGATCACGAGGTCAGGAGATCAAGACCATCCTGGCTAACACGGTGAAACCCCGTCTCTACTAAAAACACAAAAAAATTAACCGGTCATGGTGGCAGGCGCCTGTGGTCCCAGCTACTCAGGAGGCTCAGGAAGGAGAATGGCGTGAACCGGGAGGTGGAGCTTTCAGTTAGCCGAGATCTCGCCACAGCACTTCAGCCTTCATTGAATACATGAATAATAGTTATAGCAGGGGTTAGCAGTAGAAGTTATGATAAAGAACTATTTGGCAGGGCGCGGTGGCTCAAGCCTGTAATCCCAGCACTTTGGGAGACCGAGGCGGGTGGATCACGAGGTCAGGAGTTCAAGACCAGCCTTACCAAGATGGTGAAACCCCGTCTCCACTAAAATTACAAAAATTAGCCCGAGGCGGTGGTAGGCGCCTGTAGTCCCAGCTACTCGGGAGGCTGAGGCAGGAGAATCGCTTGAACCTGGGAGGCGGAGGTTGCAGTGAGCCGAGATCATGCCACTGCACGCTAGCCTGGGTGACAAGAGGCAGACTCCATCTCAAAAAAAAAAAAAAAAAAAAACTATTTGTCTGCTACCTTTCATCTTTAGAAGGCAGTTAAGATCAAGTAAAGAATGATCTGAAAAGAGAGAGCCTTGAAAGAGGCTAGGTAGCTCAGACACTAACTCACCTTCACTCTCAAGTCATCTTAATCCTTTTAGAAAGATCAATGTATTCCCTGAATGGCATGGCGCAGATGAGGTAGACACATTCTACACCTGGTTCATCCATCTAAAAGATTTTCCTATTTTAATAAAGGGAAGGATTTTATTAAGGTGTTCCAGAACTGCCTTTTTACACTAACCTGACTTCAACATAGAAAGTTCAAGAGTAATTTCCAGAAGGAAGATAATTTACATTATGACTCAGCTCTTAAGGACAGAGACAGAAATATGCATATCCTTCTAGACTCTTAGAGTGATAGGGCTGTGAGACCACATATGCTCAGAGTTCTGCGTGACATCAAGCTTATGCTTATTACTAGTTTATATTACTAGTAATAATAACTATGCTTATTATTAGAGATCAGTGACTCTGTGGGCTGGGCTCCATTGTTTGACTCTTTTGTTCTGAAACAATACAGTTTTGCTTTCATTCACTGAAAGGGAAAATCCTGTAGCAAAAATCACTGTCATTTAATAAACTCATTATGGTCATTAATGTCACTCACAACCTAGTAGCATCCTCCACTACATAGTACACAGACACCTGGCTAAACCCTGCTCTTTAAAAAAGTTTCTATAAAATGATATTATCCATGGTGGCAAGTCAATGCCAGGTTACATTTAAAATATGTAATCACCACTATGCTTTACAAGATTATAGACTTTAATATCCTTAGAGCTGAACAAAAAATACACAGAAGAGATTCTTTGCTTTCAGACTCTTTAAAAATAATTTATTGACATTGTTCTCTGTTGTGTTGCCTTCCCTTTAAGCTCTGATCTTTGTACTTAAGTCAGTGTGCTATCATCAACGATGACAATAGAAACCACATTAAGAAACAAGCTTCACTACTTTAAAATCTAAGGCAGCACAATTACTAGAACTGCAGGCCTATCACTAGATAATGATAATGTAACAGATGATTCAATACTATTATACTAACCAAAGAGAACTAATTTCAGAATTGTTTACCACCAACACCTGTACTTTCTACACGCAACAAAAGGTCAAGAAAATGAAATGAAGAATGCATCTGTATTCTAAAGCCCCTAGGCAGGAAGTTCCATCTAGTTAGATTTTAAAATAAGTAAGTAATATTGCAGTTAATTGCTACCTTTACACTTCTTAATCTGCACACTGAGCAACACTTAGTTTTGGCCAGTTATTATTACAAAAGCACCAACTGTGTAGGCACTAAAATTAGAATACATAGATGCTACTGCTAAATTAAGATTTTCTTTGTGACTAGAGGCAGAAATGGGTATCAAAAGTAAATCAGTTTGAGCGAGAATAATAAATACGATATAAGGAAATGTAAACATTCTATTAAGTACTGTAAATTATTATAGTTTAATCTTTCTTAGTTATAGAGCCTCATGTTCTCCTGGAGACGGGCAACAAATTCAACTACCCTCCTTCATTGGGCCACATTTAGCCATTCTACAGGTAGAAAGGCTCTGCAGATATACCTTCAGAACAAGAATACCCTATGATGGAGAGTTCCGGAAGGCCAGGACACAGCAGCAGATCAGCTTCTTATAATGGGTAGAAGCAGACTATCATTCGACAACCCTAACATTATGTATTTCCACATCATTTCTTAGCTACTCCAGGTATCTGGAGCTATTAGGCATAGTATATCAAGAAGTTGTGGGGTTTTACTGTATTAGGCTGGACAGGATAAAACACACCTCATGCCCTGAACAGGACACCCGGCTTTTTTGCTCCTTTCTTCATCCCAACATTAAGCAGCAACTAACAAGTCCAGCAGGAACAAATGAAAAGCCTTCAAGTATGTCTATCATCAGGTAATGGTTTCTAAAACTCCTATTCAAAGGTCACTTCTAATTTTTTGTTGTGATTTCCTATAATTTGCAATCTGAGAGCCAGGTCTTCTAAAGACCCTAAATTAATGTTTAGAAACTTTCATTTTCTATTTTTCTCCTGATTATATTCCATGTTCATGTCCTCCTCAAGCTTTTATCATGTCTTAATCTGATAGTCAAATGAGCAAGAATATTGTCGTCTTCAATGAGTCATTAGAAAAATTTGGGAGAGCAGGTTGACAATGTCTGGAATCAGAACAAGGTTTTAATTTAATAAGTTATACTTTCTCTCTGTCAGCTATGGCCATTAAGATTTCCCAAGTGTTGTCTAGAATTTTTCATAGCCCCATTATTCTTACTCTTTCACCAAAACTCTATGCCAATGTTTCTCAACCATTTTTTCACTATTGCTAACCTCCATCCCTTAAAGACTCTTTTTAGACTTCTTTTCTGATCACTCTCCCTCCTTGTGAATGGTAATACCACAGAAATGTATATCTATTTATATCTGCTAGCCCTTTGAAGGAACACAGACCGTTGCAATATCTAAGATTGTGTTCACCCTCTAAGATCTAATTGCACCCCATTGGGGACAATATTGCCCCACTTGAAGAATGCATGCTCATTTAGGAAAAAGCTGCCATTTGAAAATTTTCTAAACTAACAATCCATTATGAATATTAACATTTTTTACTCTATATAAAACAAATTTTAATGTGTAACTACGTTTTTCTCCTTCCTAGTCTTGCTTGTAAGATGACATTGACATTGAGGAAAGTATTGAGCAATCAGAACTAATCAAAGAGAGTGTGTGTGTGTGTGTGTGTGTGTGTGTGTACTGTTAAAGTAACTGCAAAACAGTTTTAACTGAAATATGAAGAAATGAGAAATCCAGGGTAGTTTTTAAAGCTTTCATGAAACATAGCATTTCCCATATAGACTGAACAGATGTATGGAGATGTATAGAGTTTTAACAATGGAAACTAAAATGAGATTATTCTCTTTCAAAAAAAAAAAAACCTGCTGAGCTACATAACTTGGTTTTAGTCAGAATCTTGGGTTAATGGGCAATGGTTACATGCTTTTCATTTTCTGTCCTTGACTTCTTGTAACTGATACTTGGGAGGGTGAGGATTACAAAATTATGGCTATGAAGTCATGCAAATTACAAGTGGAATTTTACTCTATGTAGCTAAAAGGACATATAAAGTGCAACTAATAACAAACCTACAAGATCTGTCCCTAGTGGAAACATTAAAGAGTAAAGACAAAAAACCACACAGTTTGGTGTTGGGCCTAATCCTTAAGTGTAGTAAAAAAATAAATAAATAAATAAATTACGTGCTTTTAACTAAGACAGAGAGTTACCAAAAATGCACGGCTGGAATCTTTTACATAAAAACGCTATGAAAAAGTAAGATGACTCTGTGGCTTCCCCTGCTACAAATCTACACCACTTCAGGTGACGAGTACACTGATATCCATAGTCTACTCATCATCAGATAACATAATGAAATTTTGGTTTCCCTGCAAAGTCCAAAAGTCATTTAGTAAATTCCAAATTAAGGACATACCAAGAAAGAAACTGATAAGATGGCTAATAGGAATTTACCAAGACAGTCAAATACTGTCAGCTGAAACTGTGAAGCCATCAACAATTGCTTGATGGTCTCCTTGGGAGATGTGTTAGTACTTTAAGCAAGCAGGAGAGAAAGATACTGATGTAGGAAAAAACAAGATCCAAAAGCCTATGGGTCAGTTCAGGTACATGGCAGAACAGCTAAAATTTGCTGGGAACATCAGCTACAGTTTTAGGTGGAGGCCCCAGAAAGTAAATAAACTCAGCTTAGGGTCTCTGGAACCAGTGACCCAGGTGTCCTCTAGAGTAAAGGAAAACAAACAAGCTGGCTTGGGACCTTGCTTAGGACAGCTGTTTCAGGAGCTGTGCTCCTTGTAGATAATTGGAAGCCGCTTCTGCAAGGAAACTAGCAGCAGAAGCCTGGTGCCCCTGTGGTACTGATGAAACCCCAGAAGCCTTGGTCTCCTACACTCTGAGCTTCTGAGTCAGGGTGAACTTCAATAGGAAAGTCACTTAGGGGACCTAAAGGGCAATAGGCTGCACACTGCCATTTCCCGAAAATAAATAGTAAATTGTCACTGTTCCAGATATAACTGCTAGATTGAAACGCACGATTTCTCCTCTCACTCGTAAAAATAAATAAATAAATAAATAAAATTTAAATAAACGTCTATCACCCAGGGAAAGCTACTCTTGACTCCTTCCACCTATCAAAATTGCCTAAGAAAGGTTGAGTCTGACCAAGGGGCGGCGCAGCTTGCAACTTTCGCCAACTCCGGGATGAGGCACCGCATCCTGGTACCAGAGGCTTGGACACCAAAATGACTTCTCTAGGGTGCAGCAAGGTGAGCCACCTGGCTTATCCTATCCCCATCAGCACGCGTCCCACACCTCTCAGTCCCATTCCGGAAATGGAGCTCTCTCAGGACTGGATACAGGCAGGAGACCTCCCTCCCCAAACAATGCATTCAGCCCGAGTTCACATTCAAGATTCAAAAAGAAAGGGGAAAAACATAGAAAGAACAATAACAATAGCAAACATGATTTTTTTTTCAGTTAAAAAATAAAATGAGTCTCTTACCATCTCGCCTGAGGTTGGCGTTGCGCAAAGCTTTGATGGATGCGCTCTGCGGGGTTGCAGAAGTGTCCCGACAGCTGCAAAAGTTTGCGCAGATTAGAGTGTAGACAAAGATGAGCCGGTGCATTTGGGATCAGCGACTAGAGACAGCGTCGCTCCAAGAAAAAGCCGGGTTCTGCTCCCGGGACCGACGCCGCGCCGCCCTGCGCTCTCGCCGCCTGCGCTCGCCCTGCGCTGGCCCGGGTCGCTGTGCTAATCGCCGAGCTCTCCCCAAACTTCCTGCATGCTGAACTTTCCGAGCGCGTGTGGGTGCCGCACTTCCTTGTGGTGCTGAGCTGATAAATGGTGACGGGACAAACAACAGGTTGACGTTTGTTTGTTCGCCCCCTCCGGTGGCCGGCAGCTGCAGCACAGGCTGCAGGGGGCGGGCAGCGCCGAATCTAGCGGGGCAGGCGAGCGGAGCAGCAGCGTTCTCCAGCCCCGGCCGCGGCCCCTGAGAGGCGCGCACTCGGGCTCAGAGCGGCGGCGCGAGCACCTCAGCTCCCCAGTTTCCCAGGCCGGGCCTAAACCTGCTCTGCCACTGAGCATGCCCAGTTTAATCGCCGGCCGGGACTCTTCCCACCGCCCTGGGCTTTACCCTCCTGGTTGGACCTGTAAGGGCTCAGGAAACAAACTCGCCAGGAGGAAGTGGGAGAGGGTAGAATCCCAGCACTTCTTCAGAGGTGACTGGCACATCCACCCACAAGCCACAGCTCTCCGCCTTGATGGTGGTGGGATGTGGGGACAGGGACTGGAGTTGGGAGTGTTTATTTTACAATAACCAAAATGAGACTCTACTTAGTTAAAATTTCACTGTTTATAGTGAAAAAATACAATCACAAAGGAGCTTAATTCCGAGCTTTTCTTTGAGCTCCCATCAGTGTGACCTTTGGGTGAGTCAAGGGTACCTTTTCAGGGAATAAAATAAAAATAAAAGTATATCACCCAGAGAAAGCTACTCTTGAGTCCCTCCATCTATCAAAAATGCCCGAGAAAAGGTCGAGACTGATGGAGGGATGGCGTAGCTTTCACTTTTCGCGAACTCCAGGATGAGTCAGGGCATCCTGGTACCAGAGAGTATTGGACACCAAAATGCCTTTTCTAGGGTGCAGCAAGATGAACCACCTATCACACAGGGCTGTAGACGTGATGGGCCATGTGGTGCAGTGTACAATAAGGGCAAGAAGTCTTCACGAGCGTTTTTATATGCACTAGCTCCAGCCCTTCCACAGGAAAGGGCAACAGGACAGAGTGGGGTTGAGCAGGAACAGACTGAGCAAGGGGAAGAAGTTGCAGAACACTGTGCTCACTTGCCTTCACAGTCCATAGGAAGAGGCATGGGTCGTTGAGGCTTTTGGGATTCTCCCTACTCTGCGTCTGGAAGCTCAGCAGTTGAAAGGGGCTGCCTCTGGTTTACATCGTGTGTCTGTCTGCCCATGGGAGGGGACTGTATTTGGAAAAGGAATGAGTCCAGACTCGCTGCTCACTGGCTTTGTCCCCTTGAGCAAATCATCTGATCTTTCGAAACTCAGTTTATTTATTTGCAAGAGTAGCAATTGTTAATTTGTATGGTTGTGGTGAGAATGATGTGAAAAAATGTTTAGCATATTGTTTTGTTTGTAGCTGAATCCAAATCCAAATTTATATGATTTCTCAATTTTCCGCTGATGAGATCTAGAAGAGAAAATTTTCAGTCTTTTTCAGGCCTTCCAGCTCCTGAAAGTCTGGCATATGGTAAGTGATATCCATACATAGGGAACTTTAAGTGGCTGAGAAGGGCAGGAAGTTCTGGAAAAGGTAGCCTTGTCAAGTTATTATACCATCCAACAAGGACGAGGGTTCATGTGTCCCTTCAACATAGTCAAAGATCAACATGTTTCATCTCTATTGGCTTTTTGGCTTAAAATGGTATTTTACAAAATTTAGGTTTGTGGGCCATGAAATCAACTTCAATACCAGAATAATTGTTTAAATAAATGGATTGGAATACAATAGTTTAGAAATTTAATTATCAGGGTTCATTGGAGATAATAATATTGTTTTATGAATATTTTGTTTCAGATACACGAACACTACAATATAATAGTTATTTCTTTGGGGCATGATCAAAAAAGTTTGAAAGCCCCTGGAAAAAAAGATCTAATTACATTGTTTCAGGATATAGTGAAACCCTGGGAGAGACACTAAGGATCATTTATTCATTCAACAGGTATTAATTAAGCATTAGTTTTTCCCCTTGTGTTATGCCCTGGTCTAAAAATCTTGGGGATTAAATTGTGAACAAGAAATAAAGTTCCTAATCTCTTTGAGTTTACATTATAATAGAGGAAAGGGAACATAAACAAGTAAGTATGTAACTGTGTTAATAAGTGAAAAGGGGTAGAGATAGATGGGATAGGAGTAGGGACTAATTGAAATATGTGATATCGTTTTTTAGAAGTGGTTGGAAATGCTCATTCAATTTCATACTTAGCTTCTGATATGAGACTATAGAAAAACGGAGAAAATTTGCAAATGACTTATAATTATGTAATTATGACATGTATCAAGATACTGACTTATTACAAGTATCAAAATGCTAAAATTGTGTCTTAATATCTTATATAAAATAATGAATTTTAAATATTCAATGTAGTGTTTTCCAAGATACTAATACTTTGAGCTCCCAAGGCATTGTGAATTCATAATTTCAAATATTTTAGGTAAGAATAGTAAGGGATATCACATATAATCAACATGTTCTTGATCTTTAATGTCAGTAAATATCCAAAATCAACAATAAAACACAAATTAGGCACCTGAACCCAACCAATTATTCTGGACCTGGTTTTAAAATATCTAATAATTAATTCTTACTAATTAGTTTGATCATATCAACTGAGGTATCATTGTACACAGAATATTATTTAATAAAAATATTCTTTTAGTGAGAAAGGTCTGGTACAAAGATAGAAGATTGTTTCAATTTATTTTTTACATGTATCTCAGACTCACCAAAATAGTGAATTTACCACTACATTTTGAATGCTTATAGGTCAGTTAGAAGAACATGAGCCAACAAAATGAAGTCAGATTTATAAATATTTATTACTATTCAGACTAACATAAGTCAATTATTCTATATTTAGCCATTGTTCAATGACATTCATATAACTAAAACAAAAGTAAATCTATTGCGTAGAAGAATTTTTAAAAACATGAGATCAACTTTTAATAGGTCCGTGTATAATGGCATTTATTTCGAACAAATATTCTGGTAATGAGGACTTGATAAAGAGTAGATTAGTATGTGACACTGTTTTTATCATGTGCTGTTTTCATTTCATTAATAGGACACAAGAGTAGTGTTTTCCATTACATTTTCAAATATCCTTGGCTTGTTTCACTACTCAATGAAAGCCCCAGTGGAAAAGAAATGAAATGTGGCATGATGTTTGTAGTCTTCTCATCTCTGCAAGTGGCTCACCCCAGTGCTATTTTTTTAACTAAACTTCTACCAGTCTTTAACTTGTAACTTTATTTTGACAATAGTAGTTATTTTTTGACGGCTACTCCATTCAAAAAGGACATTCCTCTGTTGTTCATCCTGCACTCACTAGATCTCAGAGAGAACAAAGCACTATGAAATGACATTCTAATTTTTGCTCTACCAGTAGACTGTTGAGCTTAGTAAATATTGAACTTTCATGGGACTTTAATACCTCCTTGTAAAATGGGAGTGTTATGCTAGATCACCTTCAATAATTCTTTCAGAATTCTGACTATTTTGTTTTATATAAATCTTGATTTCACTCATAATTTTTTACCATGTGATAAACGTGTAGCTTGTCATGCTCAAGTACATTTCAAATAGTTGTTAGAAAGTTTGGTTATATATGAGAATTAAATGTTTCTACAAATTTTAATAAGGTGATGTTTTGAAATGTTATTAACTAATATATACCTAAATGAAGCCAAAATGTTAGTTTTCCATCTAATATTAATAGTTACTTTTGCTTTCAAGCTTGTATTTTCTTTTAAAGAATCAATTATTCAAATGTATAAAAATCTAGATGAGAACTTTTTTGTGGCAGAATTAACTAAATAAATGAAATACAGTTGATTAAAATTATGATGTAAGTTTAGAAAAAAGACAACATTGATGATTTAAGATAATTAGTAAAATGATTTTGACCAATGATTTGGCTAGGAAGATCTGGATTAAATTTTGCTTATTTTCAACATTAAAGAAGATAATGTATAAATATACTGGGTGCTAAAGAATGAAATTAAATATTCATAAAATGACAAACTATGTTAATTTTTCTCAATAGTGCCAAATGACTTTAACAGCCTACAATAACAGCATAGTTACAGAATGTTTTGTAACAAGCATGTGTAAAATACATTATTAAACTACATTGAGTCATCTGTAAGTAGCATACCCTTATCCAAGCCACCCAATGCTTTTCTATGAACAAAGTTACCCTTTTGTAAAACTCTTTTGTGTTTTAACTGACTTTTTTTGCGACATGTATCACATTTGTCCTTTTATTATTATTATTAATCATAAAACAGTTCTAAAATACTTTGTAAGATCTTTTCTTAAAAGCATTACATTCTCTGTGTGTAAAGAGGCAGAAAATGACTCTGAAATTAAGTCTTTTGGGGGTACTGAAACTTATTATTTATTTCAAAGCAGCATTAATTGACTCTTCCTAATTATTGGTGAAGAAATCCATGACCTGAGTATTGCCTTTCCTCAACAGGCCATGACACTGAGTTTCTTATTATTAGATATTTTTCTTTAAAACTGTAATTTTAGTGGCACACACTAAATGTCTACCATAAAAATACAAGACAATTAGTAGTGATGTTTCTTCCTGCTTGATAGACTCAAATGCAGGCCTATTTCTATTTCCGAGTCTTAACTTGAAGAACAGTACCATAGGGCATGTCAATACAATCATAAGTCCAGGTGTTTTCACTTTATATTACTCTCTGTGGCTTATATACATAGTATATTTCATTAATGTATATATACAACCACCACATATTTCTAGCATCCTATATAGCAATGTTAAATACAATTTATCCAGTTACAGTGCTGACACATTTTGAGCAGTAACTTCTAGATTTAATCATTAAATATTGGTTGTAGTTGAGGCTATCAGGTTGACCTTTTGACAAGAAATAGGTCCAATTTGTCAGTCAGATAATCTGTTCTGTCAAGCATTAGTTTTCCTTCACTTCATGGAATTAATTAGTAATTCAGTTTAACAGGATGAGTTACTTAGTTATAAGTTTGGCATGAAAAAAAATCTGTATATCTATAATTTTTCTTCAGCTTAGTTGCATTTTTTATTTCCATTTACCCATCTTTGAGCTGCATTATCTAAACTTAAAGTTTCAAAGATGGATATGTGCCTATTCTGCAGGATTTCTTCCTTAATTGATCTGGGATGTCTGCCAGTCTCCTTTAGAATTCTGCACTCTTTATGAGATTGGCTTATATCCAGTTACTCTCACACTTCAAGTTCTCCTCTTACTTTGCTGTTTTTTAAGCAAGAAATTGTTTTTTGAGTCTTTAGATGTTCCTTTCTATGTGTGAGAATTTTAATTCTATAAAGAAAATCTTTTCTTATATTTATGTCCCTTGAAATTCTACATTACACACTTATTCTCCTTTGGAGTGGAGCCAATGTTGAATTTATTGTCTTATTTGTAAGATAATATTTAAAACTTGAGGGAATATTTAAACTTTAATAATTATCTGATTCTTTTTTCTCTACCACTAATTTTACTCTTCTGATATGTATTTTCCTTCATAAAAAATTGCTTTTAATTGATTGGGGTTGAGGCCATCTTTTGTGTTCTAAAGTCTTTGTTATCATTCAGTACTTCCCTCCTTATATCCAGTCTATGAAAACAAAACAAATTGCACTATGGAAGAGAAAAATAATATTGAATGTGTTGTGTCAAATGAATAATGCAGTTTACTTTTAATAAGCTAACTTGTGATAGAAATAAATTACATCATTTCATACCAACTCTAATTACTCTGTGAGGTGTGTGTGTGTGTGTGTATGTGTGTGTGTGCCACGAACAATTTGTTTCCTGAGTAGACTGTGAAAGTCTCTCATTTGAAAATTTTAAACTTGCCCCAAAAGGGAGATTCTGATCAAGACTAGACAACATTGACTAGTCACATCAGCATAATCTTCTGAGTATTTTTCAGCATCACATACTGATTGACTAATTAAAATAACCCTGAAGTGTAAAATAATGTGGTATCTTTGAAAGATCACGACATAAGTTTCATGATTATACTTTTTATGTTTGAGCATAGAGCAGTTTCAAAGCTATGAAGAGCCACCTCCAATTCGAACTGGTTTTTTGGCCATTTCGGAGGCAGGAAACGCTAAACCTCTCAGAAAGAATGAAAGAAATAAGCAAGCTTATGATTTCATGTGGAACAATCAATGAGATGAGATCTCAAGAAAGGACTGGACAAAGTAGAAAACAATTAAAAATAACAAAGAAAGGATGTGGAAAACCATAGAAAAGAAGCAGATTATTTCAAAGTAATGAGGGTAAAATTTCTGTCTTAGTTTCTTAAACTATAGTTTCTTAAATGGCTCATCTTTTAAATATGTTTAGGTGCCCTACAGAAAGAAAGATGTAGAAACACTAATATACATACGTTAAAGCTATAAGAATAGTGAATTATCTATGTGGAAACCATATCTTACGAACTATGAAGATAGAGGTTTGAGATGAGTGGGAGTAGGAGATTTGGGGTGGGGGTAACGGGTACAAAGAGACATAGAAATTATCTTTAAATACTTGAAAATATGAAGATCTATCATATGGAAGAATAAATAAACTGTTCCTCCTCTATAATGTATATGGAACTAATGGAAGGGATTTATTAGAAGACATATTCAAATTAATAGACTCTATAAAAAAACGAATTGAGCAGTTTAACAATGAAATAAATTGTGTCTTAAGACAGAGGATATTCTTTAACTATTAAAAGCATTACATTGGGAATGGCATAAATATCAGGAGTTTTGAAAATGAAGTACGTTTATTGAGGGGAAGTTTTGGAAGGCCATAAAAGTTTTTGCCAATTGTAGGATTTTGTGATTCTATAACCGTATCTCCCCAAGATTTAGTTTTTGAACAATAATCATATCATATACAATACAACCGGGAATTTGGAGTAGTTCTATTTCAGATTCTTTTCAAGCGTTTTAGTTATTAGAAGTGTAGTAAGAATTTATTACAGCCTGGCAACATTCTTAATATGGTCCGCAGCATATACAAGGATGATTTTATATTGAGAATAGAAAAATATATGAATTATTATTCTGTTAATATGGCCAACATCTTCAACAGTGTTATAACAGTAAGTATAATTTTACCTAATGCAGTAAAGTTATAATTGTTTTTCTAACAGAATATTGATTTTAAAAATCTCAGGAAAGTTGTACGATTTTTGAGATTTAACGTAACTACAGAAAAATGAAAAAACTAAGTCTGATGAAATCTGGTATAATTTTAAAAATATTGTCTCGAAAATAACTTATTCAGCAATCCAAAGGACTATAGCAAAACTGAGGAGCATTTTCTGAGCAGCCAAACTAGATGTTCCAAAGATCATTGTGGAAAGTCTGTATACTTCATTCTGTGGAAAACCTTTAAGCCCTAATTCAGAGTCAGCTTTGTCATTTTGTACATAATTTTAATCAACTTTAATAGCTGGTTTCTCCAGTAAGTAGTAAACTAGAGGGTGGAGCATAAAGAATAATAAGGGAGAATTTAGAGTAAGGGAGGATTTTTTTTAAATGCAGAAAAAAAGAGGAACCAAAAATTCAACATGGTAATTTGAGGATTATTTAAGGCTTAAAACATCCTTGTATTATATATAGATATAGATATATATATGGCATGTAAACAGTTACATCTATATATACGTGTGTGTGTGTGTGTGTGTGTGTGTGTATCTTATAAACAGCCTCATATATCTCTTTTGGACTCATGGATATTTATAGAATTTTCTACTAATTGAAACCTGTAATCATTGTGCCAAATTACCATACATTTAAAATTCCTTTGGCTGTATTCTGTTTAATATGGCAAAGTTTTACATTGTCAAAATGGACATTCACTTTAAAAATACTTGAATGTTAAGAATGTGACATAGATGTGTGTGTGTATAAGTTAGATCCAATATAAAATGTGTTAAAAAAAAAACTTGGTTCAAAATCAACACTCTAGGAGTTGAGTGCTTAGTACTTCATATATCTTTATCTAAATATATACAAGATGACTGTTAATTTATATAAGCAATACTAGATGTGATTGTTCATCAGTGTAATGAATGGTGTTAATATATGTGGTTGGTAAGAAGTCAAGCTTGCTGCTATTGGCTGCATGAGGTATAGGAATCAACACAGTCAACAGTTGGATGCCCTTGGTGTGGAGCCCAGTTGGACCTGTATCCCTCACTTCACAGAATACCTTGTCTCTCAACCCACTTAGAAAGCCACCTGGTCCTACTGCCAGGATACCACCATGTTCACCTCACCATGAACCTATCATGCCAGGTGCTGGTTCAAGTGCCTAAGCAGACTTAAACTTGCTCCCAGGTGCCAGAGCAGCTGTAAGAACCATTGATTCTTTTATCCTTGTTTACTAATAATATTTATATGTGTGGCATATGTGCTCTCATTGTAATGTAACAACTGGTAGTAAAGTTTTGGGAGAGAGAACATTTAGCCATAATCTACCTTGACTGTCAGAAATTACCAATATTTACCCCCAAAGCCTAGCATTTGCCTCATGGTCACATTGGTTTAGGTCATTTCACAACACCAACAAATGTATGTGATAGAAATGTAGTAACTACACTGTATAATCAAGGGCAAATATGTTTGTTCTTACATGTTATTTCATTGTCTTAAAAATTAACATTATGACCATCTCTTTTTCTGTTAATCCTGTATAAATATGGAATTACCTGTATTGAAATTTTATTTGACTCTAAGTTTCCAGAAATTTAGAATGCCATAGCGCAAACACAAGAAATTAAAAAGAAATCATGTGTAAAATATATGTAAAAGTCTTTTTCAAAACTGTAAAAGTCGTTTTCAAAAAGATGTTCCTCAAAACACAAGTCTCTTAACATATCGTGTTTAAAAAGTTTGTATGACAAATAATTTTCAGAATTGCTACATAATTTGCCACTGTTCAACCATCACAATGTACATCAATATATTAAAGAATCTGAGAAAGTTGTATTAAAGAATCCTGCTAACTTTGCTTAATTCAACATTTCCCCAATATATTAGACATTAACTTCAGAAATTATGAATTAGAAAGACATCCAATTTGGACTCATTTGTAAATAGAATTCTATGGCCAGTATTTGGAGGGGTGCACTGAAAAACTAAACCTTATATTTAAGAAGACTACCAGAAAAGCGAGGGAGGTGAGAATACTGAAACACTACAAGATAATGTGGACTACATGTAAAAATAAACTTTTTGTATAGAAATTGTCTCGAGTGTATTTGGCAAATAGTATGCCATATATAATCAATTCTAAGATGCAGTTGTTTTCTAATTGTAAACAGCTCTGAAATCAGTGTAAATTTTATAGTTGATTGCATCTGTCAAACCCTTTTGGCCAAGTGGCAGTCATAACATAGTTAACATCACTTGATGCCTCAGGTATGATAAAGAAAGCCCACGTATCAAAACAGACGGGATGATTGTTAATGGATAAGGAGAAAACTTCAAAGATAATAGTGGAGCATTTTAAAAATAAATGCTGTACAGCATTATCAACACTTTCAATGGACCGGAAAATAACATTATATGGAAAAACATGGAATTCAATGATTCTCAACCCAAACATGATTCAGGAGAGTTAGATTCTGAATGAGAAGAAGTTTCACTAATACTTAAGCCAATATATTGCATTAGTCTGTCCTCACATTGCTAATAAAGACATACCTGAGGCTGGGTAATTTATAAAGGAAAGAGGTTGAATTGATTCACAGTTCCACATGGCTTGGAGGCCTCACAGTCATGGCGGAAGGTGAATGAGGAGCAAAGTCATGCTTTACATGGCGGCAGGCAAGAGAGCATGTTCAGGGGAACTCCCCTTTATAAAACCATCAGATCTTGTGAGACTTATTCACTATCAGGAGAACAACCTGGGAAAAACCTGCCCCCATGATTATATTACCTTCCACTGTAGTTCCCTCCCCTGACATGTGGGGATTATTACAATTCAAGGTGAGATTTGAGTGGGAACACAGAGCCAAACCGTATCATATTTTCATTTTTATTTATGCATAAGGGTGATTTTTTAAAAGTACATATAAATAAATATGAAAGACTTCTTTGAATAAGCACAACATTTCTAAAGATAACAAACCTTTGACTAGTTTGAAAGCTTCTTTTTCTTTCTCAGGGGTACACAAACTAATGACATATCTTAAGACTGCATGTTAACTATGTAAAACCATTTTAATTGCCTAATGGATGCTAGACTTCTAAAATATCTATACTTGTATCATATTTCTCAAAGGAATTCAATAACCTATTTATACTCAATAGTTTTTATTTTCTATGAGATAGATGTGTTTTCAAACTAATGAAGTCATAAAAAACTTGAACAGATTGAAAGATGTTTATAAAGTGACTAAAATATACTTTGCCTTAACCACTTGTAATCTAATTGATTTTTTTTCAGTATGTTGGTTGACACATGCTAGTGATGATAGTGAGAAAAATAAAGTTGAGAAAAATACATTAAAGAATTATTGCTGTAAGAATTGGAAATTATCTGATCAGCTGTTGGTTGAAAATCTGATGCATGACTTTTATAACATCTGTGATGAGATTTTTGTCTACGTTGGAGTATTCATTGACTGAAGCTGCCTGCATATTTTTCATTTCTTTTGTTCTTCCTCATCACTGGTTGTTGGTTGTGTTATAGTTCACTAGATTTGCTATTCCATAGCATAAAAAATTATAAACTCAAGAATATATATTCCTTTTAATTTATTATACATTTTTCTCTTTTATAAATCAGCAGCTTTAACCTTTTTTTCTTTTCATAGGGAGTGATTAAAAATAAGAATCCTACCATATATTAAGGAAGTTATACTTCAGTGAAATATGACTATAAAATCTATCTTCATCTGTAGGGAAGGTAATGAATTAGCATAAATGCCTTCATAATCCAGTCTCTCTCCCTCCCCTCTTTTCTAATAAAAATGCAGAGAGAACACTGTGAAGCTCAAGCTGCCTCTAAAGAAAGTAGAGATTTACAGAACATAACCTCACAAGATTTGTTGATGAATTATGAAGGAAGGACATTTATTTTGAGAATCATGAGCATTATAATATTTATTGAGGATTAGAATTTTGTTATGTGGAGGTGCTACTACCTCCTCATGAGCCACTTCTGCACTCAATCTCAGTAAGAAGAAAATGATTAATTTGTAAAATATTAAATTATCATGATTTTTTCACTTTTCTGTCGGTTTTTTCTGTTAATGTCAGGTAGCTTATCTTTAGTCTTTATGATTAAAAATGGGAGAAAGATATCATATTAAAAATGCAGAGGCTGGGCACGGTGGCTCACACGTGTAATCCCAGCTTTGGGAGGCCGAGGTGGGCAGATCACCTGAGGTCAGGAGTTCAAGACCAGCCTGGCCAACACAGCCTAACACCATCTCTACTAAAAATACAAAAATTAGCCGGGCGTGGTGGCGCGTGACTGGAATCCCAGCTACTCGAGAGGCTGAGACAGGAGAATCGTTTGTACCTGAGAGGCGGAGGTTGCAGTGAACCAAGATCGCATCACTGCACTCCAGCCTGGACGACAGAGCAAGACTCCATCTAAAAAAAAAAAAAAAAAAAAAAGCAGATGTCAGTGTCCTTTAAAATTTGCCTGTCCTTAAAATTTTACCTCTATTGTATCATTCTAATAAATACATGTACCCAACAAAAAATTATGGGGAAATTCTTGGCACATATGTGAATCCCTTTTTTCACTATGCAAATAACCTCACCAGATTAATGAGCCAAAAATTCATTTGAAACAATGAGTTATCCAAATTTTATGCTGACATTGGCTATAAGTATTAACATTAGCTTATATGACACATTTTTTAAGTGGGATTGAAATTTTATGTTTGTTTAACTGTTGAGAGATCTAGGGGAGGGAAATATATAAAGCAAGAGAAAGAGAGGGAGAGATTTTTGAAGTCAAATGACATAAAAACTATGTAAATAAAGTCTTATCGACAAAGTGTTAAGAGAAGTGCAAATACAAGATGGGTTTTATGATACTACTATTAAATGAAAGAACAAAGGTGGATGCATATGAAGTAAATGTTGGGAGGACAATGTGTCATAATTAGGATATGAAAGTGTTTCAAAGATGCAGCAATTAATTGCATGTGGTATGGTATTGGTATAATAGGGCAGAACATGATTGATGGATGAAGCTTGTCAGCTTTGGGGACAAACCAAGCAGAACCAAAAGATGGTCACTAAACATGACCTCAGGTAGCTTATTCAAAGATAACTTTCCTAATCTATAAAATGGGGAAATAACATTATATTAGAGGTTGGTTGTGAGTGTAATTGTCACACAGGAAGCACTAAAAAAAGTGAAGGCTACCATTTTAATAGTAAAAGTTGTTAACAGTAAATACATTTTTTTTTTGAGACAGAGTTTTGCTCTTGTTGCCCAGGCTGGAGTGCAATCATGGCACAATCTTGGTTCACCGCAACCTCCTCCTCCTGGGTTCAAGCGATTCTCCTGCCTCAACCTCCTGAGTAACAGTAAATACAATATTAAGGTAAAAACAGAACACTTTATTTGGTCACATAAAACTGACACATGTTCATGTGAGCAAAAAAAGAGGTTGGAAAATGTGAAGGAGATAACTGCAGAAAATATTAGAAGTAAATTGAGAGGATTGCGGGACCCCAGGAATTAAAAATACACTCATTAAATAACTAGCATGTCTTGAATGCCTGCTATGTGTCAGGTACTCTTCTAGATGCTAGGGATACAGTATCAAACAAAACACCTATGGAACTAGCATTCAAATACGGGCGACAAAGGTAGAATATCTGGCAGTTAAAATAAGGGCTAAGGCTAAAAAAATGAAGCAGAGAAGGGATTATGAATTATGAAGTGCTAATAGCTAAGGGTGGGGAAGGGCATGTTAAGATTTTAGACAGGTTGGCCAGAAAAATGTTCCCCGAGAGTGACTTTTAAGTAAAAGCTGAAGGATGTGGAGGAGTAAGCCATGCCAATATCTGAGAGAAGAACATTATGGGCAGAGGAAAATGCATTTGCAAAGGCCCTGTGGTGGGAGTATTCCACCATGTTCCAGGAACGGTGAGGAGATCAGTGTGGCTACAGCAGAAGGAATAAGTGGGGCAGTAGCAGGATGATAGAGAGGCAACTAGTGGTTAGATTATTGTAGGACATTGAGGCACGTGCTGCGGACTTTGAGTTTTGCTCTGAATGAGATGAGAAGTCATTGGGTTTTGAGGAGTGACATGTTCTTTTATTTTAACAGCTACTTCAACAAGCATAGCTCAGAAAGGGAGGATGAGAGCAAGGAAGATGATCAGTGTAGAAGCTTTAAATCATGCATGTGAGAAATGGTAATGACTTGGAACTGAGTGGCAGAGTTGGGACACATAAAATGGGTTCGGATTATAAATAAAATTGTAAGTGCAGTCACTAGAATTTCTTAATGTATTGGATACAGTCTATAAGAAAAAGGGAAGGTAAAGATAATTCTAAGGATCTTGGTCTAAACAACTGGAAGGATGGAGGAGACTGAAGGAGAATTAGGTTTAGAGGGTTATCAGGTTCACAGTTTGTTGCCTGAAAAGTTTGAAATGCCTTTTAGACATCCATGTGGAGATGTCAAGAAGGCAGTTGGATATACAGGTCATGAGACAGAGAACATCACTTAGAAAGTGATTTTTGACAGAAAAGAGAAAATATACAAGGACAGAGCCCTGTGCATATTAACATGGAGAGTCTGAAGGAGATCAACAGCAACCAACAGAGCCTATGGTGAAGAAATGGCCTGAAACGTGAGAGGAAAAGCAGGGAAGTATGTGTTCTGAAAGCCAAGTGAAGATGTTTCATATTAACCATGTGAATAAGAAAAGTGAAATGCCAGAGGAAAGAGATAGCTGAGACATGTAGCTGAGATCATTTTACAAATTGAAGAAAATTAAAGTATATTTTCAGTGGAAAACAATAAAGAGAAAGATGACAAACTTGGATGAAGTCTTCACTAGAAAGAAGTAGCAAGAAAGAAAAAAACAGGACACCTGTAGTGTTTTCTCAAAATGTCCTAGTCCTGGCCATTTGTATCAGAAGCAATTGAGATGTTTGTTAAAACATGCAGATTCCTGAATCACAGTTGTTTATGACAGACCCAGGAATTTGTATATTTAGAAAGCTCCACAGGTGATTCTTATGTACATGACTAATGTTTAAAAAAAAGTAAAACAGGGAAATAGATTTCTAAGAATAAACGAGTGATAACGTAAGTGTGTAACTGCAGGTTGTAAACATGGAATAGGGTCAGCAGTTTGTGGTTCCCACTCTCATCATCTGTATTTTCATCAAATAAATGATTAGATTATAGCCATGCAGAAAAGGAATGAATTACTTTACACTCAAACTTAATTTCCCTTTCCCCCAAATATATTAGAAAGCTCAAATTGACATTTATTTTTCCATTTCACTTGCATGCTCAGTGGGGGAGGAATGGAAAATTGAAATTTGCAAGGCTTCCCGTGGGTTTGCCTCTGCCTCTAAGGCACACTTAGTCAATAAGTGCAGTAGGACCCATCATTACATTGCTCATTATTCCACTGATTCAGTGAGTTTGCATGTCAAAAAGAATCCCCCTTTCTTTATGTAACCAGACCACACATACACATACACACAATTCTGATCTAGAACTGAGAGCTGCAGAAATCTATGGTAGGATTTCATGTCAGGCTTGTGGAAATCCATTCCAATGCTTCATGGGCAATTTCAGTTGTTCTCACATCAGCATGAGCTTTCACCTTCATCTTTAGGTTGTGAGAGATCTCCACTGTGTACAGTTGGTCAACAAGTACTGAAGGTACATGAAACTGCAGCTCTGCAGAAGGGACATTAAAACCATAAGTGGGTTCTAGTTCAATGAACTCTAACTACATTTGGAAAGAATGGAAGGGATAAATGAGGGAAGCAATGTACACATTCAGAAGTAAGGAATACAGAGTCTTTAATATTTACCTTGTACCTTCTTATTTCAAATGCTGTCCCTATCTCATTTTATCCCCTCAATTCTATTAGGTGGATGTTATTCCCTGTTTCATAGATGAAGAAGCTGAAGCTAATTTGTCCAAGGTAAGTAAGTGATAAGATTAAATTTTCTATATTAAATGGTAGTTTCTATGTTTTTCTTCATTGTACCATCCAAACTGCCTTGGAATTCAGTGTTAATACTAGAATTGCTAAATTGTACTATAGATCTCGCATTACAATTCTATGTGTTATATCACTGAGAAACTAATATATCAAGCATGTAGGAAATATCTATGAAGCCTAATGATAATGATGATGAACTATCAAAGATTTTTAGATTGATAGCGGAAATAATGATGGTAAACTATCAATCTAAAGATTTGTAAGGTACAAAAACAGCCTATGGTTGCACAAGGAATTTCAGTATACAAAACCAGTGGGAAATTAGAAATGCAATATCCTTAGTGATGCACTTTCTCCACCTTAACACCTGTAACATCTTATCTGACCTCTACCACTCTAGGTTCTAGATCACTGAGTACTCTTTATCCAATGAATAAATGGTTTCTATTAGGTTAGTGAGGTTTTTGCCAAAAGTGCAAATACTTTTACACTAATCTAAATGTTATGCCCCTGCAAGTACATGCTCTGGTTGAATTTGTTCACATAAAACTAGATGCTCTGTGGGGCTGCTCCTCTAGCCTGCATGTCTCGACTCTTAATGATTCTTTTCTTTTTTTCTTTCATCTTGGCACTTAGTTCTGTCCAAAGATGGTCAGATTGCTAATTGATGGTCTTTTTGCTATTCTCATTTCTCCTTCACTAGGGGCCAATTTCTTCCTACACACTAGAAGTTTCTCCCAGTCATTTATTCTTCTTCTGACATATCCCTTTTACTCAGAATGTAGGTCATGTTGCTGTTTGGTTGGAGGAGGTGTTCTGTAATACTGGCAAATCGGCTGAGAAGAAAGAAAAGAAGTTGTAGTCCATTTCTCACCATAGACTCATTGTTGGGTTCTTGGCAGACCACATATCTTTCTTAGGTCTCAGTTTCCTTATCCATAAAACAAAGTATTTTGACTAAGTGCTCTCTATAGTCCTTACCCAATGTAACAATCCATAATTATTGAAATGATGTTAGAAAACTGTGATGATTTTTTCAAAACTACATTCAGAGAACTACTGCATCTTTCTTACCTTAATTCTGTCTACAGTCAAACAAGCTGAACATACAAATCAATGTGAGTATAACCCATTATACATATTGTATATATTTTAAAGCAGTAAGTTTTTGGATGTAAACTTTCTTCTCTTAACAACATTTGTGTGTTTTTCTGATTATAAAACAGATACAATATCATCGGACAAAAATTGGAAAGCACAGAGCATATAAAAGAGGAAAGTTAAAATCACACACAATTTTTCATTCCAGTAATTATCATTACTTCCATTCTAATGTTCTTACTTGCTTGATTTTTTTCATTGTTTTTAAAATAAAATGAAGGTTGTGTTTTTTATATCCTGCTTTTTATCCCTCAACATATTATCTTGGGTATTTTGTGTCTCATTAAAAATTCTGTGAAAGCATCATTTTATTGCTGCTTATCGTTCTTTATTGTTGTGGTACCATGCTAATGCCATAATCTATGATTGTACATTTCATTTATTTTAATGTTGTATTATTTTCAGTGATAATGTATGGACATATGAATATCTGTGTACATATCTACATTTATTCAATTTTGTCAACATAAATTTCCAGAATTGAAATTCCATGGTCAAATATAAATATGTGTTAAACCTCTAGATGCAGTTATCAAATTGCTCCCCAGTAATGTGGTTCCCATTTTCATTTCTACTAGGAGATTTGAAAATATCAGTCACTCATTCTTTCCAACAATATGCGTTATCATTCAATCCTTGCCATTTTAATAGGTAAAATGATTTCTCATTATGTTTTTAATCTGCATGTATGTTATTATTTATGAGGTGAGGTCATTTTAAAAATATATGTATTGCCTCGTTGCCTTCTAGCCCTATATGATCAGGTCCTTCTTCCTTTCCAACCATCTTTCTGACATTACTCTACTCCAGCCACATGGTTCTTGCTGTTCCTAGGCTATGCTAACTTTGGTTTCACCTCAGGATCTTGATCATGCTGTTGGTTTTTCTCTACCTGTCATGTATCCTTGCTTTCAAATCTTAGCAAGGCTCACTTTCACATTCCATTCTGTTCTGTCCAAATGCTGCCTCCTCAGAGAATCTTTCTATATGGCTTCCTCATCCTAAATAGCCTCTTCTTCCATTATTCTATAACCACCTCCCCTACTTTCCCATAACATTTGTTTGTCACCTAAGATTATATAATTTATTTATGTAATTTCCTCCTGTTTGCTTTTTTAATTGTCTCCTCATGAGAATAGAAGCTTCCTGAAAGGAGGGGACACGACTATCTTATTTATTTCAGTATTAACTCTCACCACTTAGAATGCCATCTAGCATATACTGGGTGCTTAATATTTGTGCAGTGAATTATCTGAATTTCACCTTTACCAGTCTTTTTATTTGGATATCTCTCTTTTTCTTATCGAAAAGATTCCAGTAGAATAACACCATTAATCTTATTTATTTTTGGCTACTATATATACTACCCATATTTTTCCTAATTGAATTAGTCAGTTGTTTGTCTTTTAGGGGGATGAACAGGAAATGAAATATTTGAGTAAAAGTTTAAAATTTTCAGCAAGTCATGTTTGTTCAACTTTATTTTATGGTTCTCTTCTACAATATTATGTTCAAAAAGTCTTTCTGCAGACCAATAACTGATCAATATTCACATGTTGTTTCTTCAAGTTGCTTTGTTTTTATTGCTTAATTCTCAAATTCTGGGATTTATTTTGATGTTCAAATTCTGGGATTTATTTTGATGTATGTCATTTGTCTTATCTCTGTTCTTTAAACTGAATACAATAAAATCCAGAAATAATTTTAATAAATTATTTACCAACTTAGAGTTATTTACTCTGCACATGTCCCTGAGTAAATTAGGGGACAATACTATAGTTGAAAAGTTTCTTTTTCTGAAGCTTGGCATGTCTATCCCTGATTACAGACTCACTTTCTTCTCATTGATTATCCCTGGAACCATTCTGATATGTATGCAAGGACAGTTGTTATCTATAAGATGTAACTCAAAAAGCACTGAAAACCTATTTTTTAAAATGTGGGTACTGTTTCTACAACAGTGTTTGGATACCATTTTTTTTTCGACTTAAATGTGATCCAGTACATGTCAATAGTTTCGCATGTAGTATCTCCCTTAGTTCTCCCAGGAACAATGAAAATATTAATTCTATGTTACAAATGAAGAAACTGATACTTTAAGAGGTTAGAAACATTCCTAAGGCTGTCCAGCTAGGAAGTGGCAGAATTCTAGTATCTCAATGCCACTGATAAAAACTGCGGTAGAAATGTTGAGTGACTACTGTGTACCAACACTGAGCCAGGTGTATTTCACAGCTTGTTTTGTTGAATACTTAAGAAACCTCTTACATCTATTTGACAGATACAGTAATGAAGATTTAGAGACTTGTTCAAGGTCATACAACTACTATGCTACACTGCTTCTAATAATACTGCTTCAAAATTTCCTTATTCTTTGGGTAAAAGTGGTTTTAGTTAATGATCTGTATAAACTAGCTTAAGCTAACTCTTGAAACATTGAGATGTAAAGATGTATAATGGCTCAAACTCAATTAAGGTGTTTTCGTAAAGACTAAACATATCTATTATAAAAACCCATTCTATAAAATTGCACATTAAAAATAATAAGACCACTGGGGAAAAAAACAGAATTGGGACAGACCCCTCCTAATCTGTGGAATTTTGTAACCAGAACACTAAAAAACAAGAAAAAAATACTAATACATTGAAAAAGACATGTTTCCAACTATATGACATTCTGGAGAAGGCAGAACTCTGGAATAAACAGTAGAAATATCAGTGATTTCTGGGTGTTACAGGGGCAAGATGGATGAATAGGCAGAGAACAGAGGATTTTTGTGGTAGTGAAATTATTCTGTATGATACTATAAGGTTTGAAACATGTCATTATATGTTTGCCAAAAGCCACAAAGTGAACCCAAGACAGAACCCTAATGCAAACTATGAACTTTGAGTGATGATGATGTGTCAATGCAGCTTCATAGATTGTAACAAACGTGCCACTGTGATAGGGAGTATCAATAGTTGGGACGCGTATACAGATGTGAAGTCAGGTTGTATATAAGAAGTTTCTGTACTCTCTGCTCAATTTTGCTGTGAATCTAAAACTGCTCTAGAAAATAAAGTCTCTTGGAAAATACACATTAAATTCCTAATAAGTAAGAATTACTTGGAAGCTACCTTTTTGAAAAAGTAGTAGAATAAGCCTGATGGAAAGGGTACAAAGAATGATTGATTTTCAGAGTTATTGCAACCACAGCCACCAGAGAAGACCACCCAAAGTTTGTGATGCAGAGCAAGTGACCAAACTCAGAACAAACCTGAAGTGAATGGGAAGTTACAATTCTGTATTCATCCATGACTCATCCTGTTAAGCTGTATCAGGAGAGTTGGTGCTCTGCTGCTGTTAATTTGTGGCATAAAACATTAATGTGCTGGGAAATATCAGATACAAAGGCACACCACTCTACATTATTCTAAATCATTCCCCTGTTTAGCAACCTTGTATGAGTTAATTCATTGTAGAAATTGTAGCAGAACAGACTTGAGTGGTCTATTTCTTTCTCAGCTCACAGTATTACTCCAGAGAACAGGTTGGCAGGATGCCTTACTCCGTGCTGTGTTGGAGTACAGGTTTATGGACACTTCCAAGGTGACCTGGGGGATCATTTCCATTTCATCCAGTCGGAAGGAAAATGATCTCTGAAGGTTTTCCTGGACCAGTCTTTGAAGAGGTGCTTACCACTTCCTCTCATATTCCATATTCTGGAATTCAGTCTGGCCACACATAATGAGATAGAGCCAACAAATGATGTTAGTCTTCCAACTGTGTACCCATGAAGAGGAAAACATGTGTTTCATCCAGTGGTAATAGTCTATGCCACAAAATTATAACCAAATGCTGATTTTATTGCCAAGTTCAAATCTGGGTGGGCACACCAACTAGACGACTGAAACTGTAACCCTGCAAACATGGACTGCCCTAAAAGATCTATTACAGCACCACTTGTTTTATAAAGAGGTGATGATGAGGTTTTTAGAGGGCAGTTATCAACATTTGTACTGCATATCAAATGCAGACATTTAATGCCTAATACCTGTTTAAAGGTAAGTACAAAGATAAGCACCTTTAATAGCTTACCTTTAATAGATTTTGTTCTTAAAGTTTTATAATATAATGCTTTTACTTTAGTTCTGTGACAGGAAAGATGAGATGGCATGATAGATAGAAGAGCATGTGATTAAGTCAGATAACGTGGATTTCTAATTCTGATGCTAGCATAATCCACCTGTGACTTGGGGTAAAAAAAAATTGATTGCTCTGAGCCTAAGCTTTCTTGTCTATAAAAAATGGAGAGGATGATACTGCATAGGGATGTTGTGCCAATTAAATGAAGTCACCTTTAGAAATTCAGGACTCAATAAAAAGGCCAAGGGCTTTGGAATCAGAACAAATGAGGATTTAAATCATGGATGCACTTTATTACTCATGCGATCTTGAGCAAATTATCTAATCTCTCCCAGCTTTCAGTTTCCTAAACTAGAAAAAAGGAATTATGACATTATGGTATACTTACTCCTTGAATAGATGTATATCACCTAATAATACACCTGGTGTTTTTATTCATTTAGCAAGTATTCATTAGTTATCTATAACGTGACCACTGGTGGTCATATTGTGTATTTGGGAGAGAGTTCCAAAAACAACAAACAACATTCATGTCTTTCATGGAGTTTACTTTCTATTAGGGATTAGGGAAAGGAGAGATATAAGCAAAATAAGCAAATAAATGAATAAATAAGAAACTTTCCATTAGCAATTAACAATTTAAAAATAAACCAAATAATAAACTGGAGAAAGCCTTGGGGTAGAGTAGGGTTATGCTATTGTGTGTATGTTTGCGTGCCCCCCTCCCTCAAAATTCATATCTTGAAATCCTAAGCCCCAGTGTGTTACTAGTAAGATGGGGCCTTTGGAGGTGTTTAGGCTCTTTTATAAGGGATTAGTGCCCTCATAAAAGAGGTTGGACGATGATCCCTTGCCCCTTCCACTATGTGAGGACACAGTGAGAAGTTACCTTCTGTGAACCAGGAAATGCTCCTTCAACAGGCACTGAATCTGTTGGTGCCTTAATCATGAATTTTAGATTCTGGAATTTAAATTTCAGAACTGTGATAAATACATTTTTGTAGTTTATAAGCTACCCAGTGTATGATATTTAGTGATAGCAGCCCAAACAAATAAAGACAGGCTATTTTCCATAGAGTGGTATTAAAAATTATCTTCAAGGAGATGATTCTTGAGCTGAGAACTGAGTGATGTAAAGGAATAAAACAATTGACAATCAAAAGGGTTTCCCAGAAAGAGGCAACAGTCAAACAAAGACTGGTTGGAAGGAAAAGGCCAATATATTACAAGTATATTTTAAGTATGGAAACAGAGAAATGAGAAAGGAGACTGCTCCTACAGTCCATGTGAAAGGAAATATTGTTTTGGAGCAGGAGAGTAGCAGTGGGGACTAGAAACACTGAACAGAGGCAGGAATATGTTTTGAAGCTATTGCCATTAAAATGTACATGAGAGTTAAAAGAAAGATAAATCGAGGATGACTATGAGTTTTTTTTTTGCCATGAATAGTGTGAAATGATAGCAGATAATACATGGCAGATAAATTTTAAGTGGTAGCTATTATAATCACATATCAAAAATCTTCCATAAATTAAAACTTGGTTAATTAGATGATTCTTTTTCCTCTTAAGTAATTATCCTCCCTCTCTTTCCCTACATTTTCCCCTTCACAGATTCAAGATCTTCAGAAGTTTAAGGGTTTAAATGTTTGATTATTCTTCTCCACTTCCTGTGGGGAACTGGGGACATTATGAAATAAACATAGAAAATATAGAAGGCATTAAAATAAAATAAAAACACAAAAAGACTTCCAAAGAAGGTGGTGTTAGTATCATGAACTGTCAAATGTGAGTTCATCAGCCCTTTGCACCTGAAGCTAACAATAAAGAAATTAAAGGTGTAGTCGTTCCTGGATTTGCTCTCAGTATCCTAAAAATTATGCCTCCACTATGTAGTCTAAATGCTTTCAAAACCTGAGAGACTATGGTGTTCTAGCAAAATTATTTCCCTACCCCCTTTTGGACAATTGGATGCCATTGAAGGACAAAAGAATTCCTCTGAATATGTAAGTAAGAAATACCGAGGGAAAAAAATAACTGCTAGATGTAGTAATTTTTCCTTCTGCAAATTTTTCATACTATTTTATGTTTGACAAAAGGAGAAATGTAGCTCCAAATGAGGAATATTAGAAAGCAACATTCAGGTCTCACAAAGTTTTAATCTGAAAAGTAGAATCTTTGACTTTTGCTGTGCATCTATTGCCATGCTGTTTCCCTCAAAACAATTTTGTTATGCTAATATTTCTTCTCAAAAGAAATGTTCTAGTGGTCAGGCAAATACAATTATCATTGAGTATGAGATGGACCAAGGGAACTAAAGGTACTTAACTATGGAAAATAGAATTTCCTTATGACCTGATGTATCCTCCCTGCAGTCTACTAAGGATAAAACAATCATAAAACACACTAACACAATTCATTACTAATATAAATTTCCTTATAGCAAAATAATTAAGCTGACTTCTTTTAGCAAATTTAAGTGGAGAATGAGCAAGCCTATTGTAAGCAATCATGCAGAAATATCTACAGATAGATTCACCCACAAAAAAAAAATTACCCAAGAAAATGAAAATGAAGCACTTGTCTGGTCCTGATAATTGTAGCACTTAGCATGGTAGAGTCGGGCATTCAACTTAGATGAATATAAATTATTTATGTCTAACTCAGGGCCTCCAAACTACAAGCTTCATCTTTAAAATTGTAGTTTCTCAGTGGAGAGAAAAAAATGTATTAGCTTCAAAGCTGTGCACCTCATAATGCTTTCTAATAGACTTCCATGTCTGTATTTTGCATAAGCAGCACTGATATTTTACCCTGAGGTAATTCTGTGGTCTTTCAGAGTTTACTATTAAGTTGCTAAGCATGAAGCTTGGCAATTGCTGTTTATTTTAGAGACGTTTGTTCCATATCAAATCATAAAAACAAATGCATCTTTTGGGGGTTAGTAATACTACCATGTGTCATGCTTTTGATAAGTTCAAAATCCATTATAAATTATAAAAATATTAAGTACACAGTATCTATATTGATTATCAAAAGTGTATTGGGAAAATATTTTGACAAGCTTTTTTCCTGTGATTTCATTCTATTTCCTAAAATTTCTTTAAAAGCAGAGAGAAATTGTGATGAATGGATTCTGGGTTGCATAATCAACAAATAGCCAGTGAAAGCACGTGTGAGAAGACTGTCATTGGGAAATGTATGAAATACTTCTTGCCATTAAGGTCCCAGTAAATAACAATTACAACCACAGTTGATCAAGGCATTTCTTAACAGAATTTGTCTTTTTAACAGGTGAATGGCTCTCAGACATTTCTTCATTTCATTCTGAGCTGATATAACTAAGAACTCTTCAGTATGGCCACTACTGGGTAAAGTGATTCATTCATGACAATTGTGAAGGTGAAGAGTGGAATTGATAGCACTAGAAGTGCCAAATATAAGAAGAGTCCTAAAATTTATGAAATGATTCCTGGTATAAATATAAATACCTTCCTCTGAGCAACTCCCAGATAACCATTCTTCCACAAATAGCTTTATAGAAGGAAAATTTTGAGGATTTTTATTTGAAATCTAAAACCTTCAGTCCAGTTTTCTTGCTCATGTTGATATTATTTATTTGTCGTCATTTAGGTTCTTATTCAGATTTGGTGCTGCTTTCTACCTGTTTGTAAGCTCAGCATGCATACTAACAGTGGGGCCTGATGGGGAGGTGTTTGGTATATGAGGGCTCTGCTTTTTTGAATACATTAATGCCACTATTTTAAAAAGCCTTTAAAATTCACTTCCTGCTACTCTTCTGCCATGTGAAGAACAGGATTCCTCCCCTTGCAAGATGCAGCATTCAAGGCACCCACCTCCCAATACTGATCCATTGGTGATCAAGTTTCTACATGAGTTTTGGAGGAGACAAAAACATTCAAACCATAGCAATTTTAGAGCATTGTGTTTCTTTATTATTGTATATATAGATGGCATGATTGTCATTTTTTGATATCATATAAATTGCTGATCATTATATTCTAATAGACCATCAAAGGCCTCTCCTACTTTCTTTCTGAATGTCTCTCTCTCCTCCTTTGAAATTCTGATGAACTTTTAATAAAAATTCAAAACTGTTTGTTCTATGTTTTTATAGATGTAATAGATAACCTGAGGGTACCCCCATCAACACACACACACAGGAACACTCAGCTACTAAAATATAAGGTAATCATTCCTGTTCTAGTTAGAATTTTTTTTTTCAGTTGCAAGAAACAGTGGCTCATTCAAGCTTACTCCTGAAAAGGGAAACTTATTGTAAGGAGTCAATGGAGAGCTTCATATCTATTCAAGATCAGGAGTGAAATGAGGTCAGGCCTCCCTAAGGTAGATTCCAGGACCTGGGAAGTGAAGGACAGAGGCTGCTTGTCTCTTGAAGGCAAAGGACTTCAATATCCTGCTTTTGCCTGGTTTTCAGCTCTCTGCTCATCTATCTCACAACTACTTCTCTGTGAGATTCTTATCTTGTATAACTTCAAAGGCTTGGGGCTTTTTCACTGCCTCGATAGACCAGTTCTATAAACTTTTCAGAGAAAGTGCTCATCATTGACTAGATCTCTTTCCATGTTATTACATGGTTCATATTGCTAAGTGACAGTCTGATTGGTTCACCTCATCTTGTAAGTTCAGTCTCACAAGCTATAGAATAGAGCTAATCTTTGTAGATCAGAACTACTTATTGTTTACCCAATCAGCTGCAGCAGAAATACTTAGGGTAGGGGATGGAGTGAAGGGAGATGGAGGAGACGTGGTGAGGATATTTGGTATAATTTCTGCTCAGCTGATACAATAGGCTGGGACTATTTCAGAAACATAAGGTAACAACAGGGAATGAATGGCATTTCTAAAAATTTTTAAACTTATGCACCCAAAAGTGCATCTATGGCAACTATGCCATTTCTTTACATTCCATTTCATAATAGAAAACATACATTAAATTCATGTTCTATTTCATATAGCCATTGATGATATAGGCTAATATATATCCATAAACACAGTTTTGGAAGGAGTGATAAACTACATTTTCCCCAAGTTTGCTTTGAGAATGATGCTGAGTTGGGTATATGACATCACAGCAGTTGCTGAGATTTACAAATAACATAATTCTTAGATCAATAAATGTCAGCACACAAAAAAATTAGATAAAACTTTTTCATATGCATGTTAGTTTGGAAAAACATGATGATATATGTTACATGCATTGATGGATAAATACATTATGTGAAGACATTCCATGCAGTATGAGATTAAATATTTATTTGATAAGGTGTATTATCATTACTATGAGAAAATAATGCCAGGGACTGTATTCATTAAAGTTTGGCAGTCTGCACTCAGGCCATAGAATGCACGGAGCATTCTTCCATGTCATACATGTAGCTGGAGACCCATAATTGGGATTGTAGAAATAACCTCTAGATTTGAGCTTTGTCTTTTAACTTGTTAGCAGGGATGCTGTTGAACAAGTCAGTTAACCATTCTAAGCCTGTTTCTGTGTTTTTAAAATGTTGTGTCAAATAATTTAGTGTGTATGTAAGCACTTTGTAAACTATAAAGCACTACTGAAATATTAAATACTCTCACTCCCTTTCAGGATGTAGAAAGAGGAACAATGGTGAAGGAGACTATCTGTCTAGTCCAATTCCAATGCTTTTGTATGGAGATCATCTATAATGGATGACCAGTTATCTTAAAATCACTAGAAGGAACTAACACTACAATTAAATTCATGTCTTACTGTAAACTCATTTATTGTAGCATTTAATCTTGTGTTGTTCAACAGAAGGGATTTAAAATATATAGCTTGAGTTCACTTTCCAAAGCTAATGCAATTGTTCTCACATTGTTCTACAAGAAAAAGAACATCTAACAAGAAGGAAGGAAGGAAGGAAGGAAAGAAAGAGAGAGAAAGAAAAAGAAAGAAAGAAAGAAAGAAAGAAAGAAAGAAAGAAAGAAAGAAAGAAAGGAAGGAAGGAAGGAAAGAAAGAAAGAAAGAAAGAAAGAAAGAAAGAAAGAAAGAAAGAAAGAAAGAAAGAAAGAAAGAAAAAGAAGGAAAGGATGATGTCTCCTCTAATCTAGCACTTTGTGCTCTCAAAGGCAAGTGTTCCTTGCCAGGTCAGTGAGATCAGGTAAGTGTGACACAGTGCTTTGGTTAGTTAGCATAGATTTAATCTTGTTTCCATAGAAACATGGCTTCATTTCTGAAATTGGTCAGACATTCTTATAAAATGATTGTGAGAACACTTTTCAGCTAGCATTTTTTTCTAGCTAGTACGAGATGCTATAACAACTCTGTCCTAACGCTATTTCTTTCCCTATATTTTGAGATGCATTAAGTGGTATATTTAAAAATGTAATTCAGGATATGGGACTTGGCAAATGCAAATTCACACTTCATGCTTTTACTTATCAGTTCAAAGTATTACTTCCATAAGCAATAGAAAATACAGTGCCAGGTGTTAGTAACTTTTCACTGTTTTAACTTGGGTTGGGTTACTGGGGTGGCTATGCCTGGCTGGCCATGGAAAGCGCGTAGATGGACATAAGTAAAACTCCTAGATTTTGCAGGGAGGACCTAGAGAAAGAGAGGTTGCCCTAATCCCAGCAGAGCAAAAAATTTGACTCATAACTTAAATATTCAGCCAATGGCAACAAGACTCGCTGAAACCAAAAAAATGTGGTCTTACATATTCTTTAAAAAATGTTTCTGGTGCTATTGTGACTTGGGGGTGTATAGGGCTGAGAGCTCAGGATTTCATGTGGCTTTAGCATGGTGGCTCTCCACTCTGTGATGGCTGCCATAGCCATTCAGCTTGGGATGCTCCTCTGTAAGGTACAAGAAGGCAACAGGAGCTATATTCTTCTACTCCTATCAGGGTCTCATAGCTTCCTTTGCATGACTTGTTGGCCACCTTGGAAGTAAAGCTTGAAGAGTCAAATTTTTCATTTTTATCCTTCTTCATCCCACTCCCAGACTCTGTTCTGGTCTGATACTGTTACTTATGTTTTATTCTATTAAAAGCAAGAAAGGAATTCTGGAAACATTTTCCTTCCATTTCATCTCTCTTCTGCTTTCAATAATTCTGTATGTCAGAGGTGAATCTATTTTTGTTTTGCCCTAGCATATATTATTTGCTTGAGATGGATTACTGAAGAAATACATTTTTTTCTATAGTGTATTTCTCTCCCTCTTTTTTTTTTTTTTTTTTTAACAAAAATAGAGGTATGGTCTTGCTTTGTTGCCAAGGCTGGTCTCCAACTCCTGGACTCAAGCTATCTTCTTGCCTAATTCTCTCAAAGTATTGGGATTATAAGTGTGAGCTATTGTGCCTGGCCGAGAGTATATTTCTCTTAAAAGCAGAAAAGCTTCATTTCTGTAAAATAAACAGGGAATGTATGGGCTGAGAAAAAAATTATAGATGAATGTTTTATTTCATTTAGGCTAGGGATTTCCAAAAGTATGGACCTATGGCTGACCTTTTGATTTTAAATAGCATCATTGTTAGTTATTCAAAAATGTGAGGTGGTGATGTGAATGGTAGAACAACATTTTTATTGGCAGAAACCTGACACAATTCTGGACCTGTTTAGCTTACCTCTATATTACTCTTTATTATTTCTGCATGGCATGTGCCCCCTGTGTAACAATAAAGACCCAATTAAGTGAAAAATGCCTTCTCTATTGGTAATGTTAAAAACAGTCCATTTGACTCTAACTTTTATTCACTATCTAACATGTATGTTGCACAAGGATGAAAAAGACTGAAGATGTAAAAAGCATAGAAATCATGGTCTCAGAAAAATGCTTCAGTGTCTTCCCTTCTTTTAATGAAATTGAAATGTTTTAATGTAGCCCAGGACATTGCAACATCTGGACCCGCCTTTCTCTCCTTTTTTGTTCTTTTCTTTGCTCTCAAACTCTAGTCACACTGGCTTCCATTTCTTTTCATGAACATGCCAAGCTCTTACACACCTGAGCCTTCTCACATGAGTGTGAACATTATTCCTGGCCTCTTTATTTAGCTGCTTCCAGTCCCTTTGGTCTTACGTTGCAATGAAGAGAAATTCCCCACTAGCATCAGAATAGATTCTAATCATTCTCTTCACTATTATCTTTGAATGTTATGCTATTTCAATTATAGCATTGTCATTTGTATTAATTTTATTATTTGCTTGTCTACTTTGTTGCTTGTTTCCCTTCTCTGAGAGGTAAGTACAATATAATAATTATGAGTGCAAGATAGGATTCATCCCAGTTTTACCACTTTGCAGCCATATAATCCTGGGAAAGTTATTTAATTTCTCTGTGCTTCAGTTTCCTTATCTGCAAAATGGAGGCAACAAATAACCTCATAGAATTGTGGAGACTAATGAGTTAACAAAGGCAAAGCCTTTAAAATAGTATTTCACGTATTATAAAATCTCAACAAATGTAGCTATTATTATTAGATTATTAGCTAAAGTATTAGATGTTTAAGATTAGATATTAGTTTATAATATCTTAAATAATGTCTGACACATATTAGTTATGCAATAAAATTCATAATTTTTTATTGAAAGAAAGAAATGAGTGAATATATAAGTAACAATCAAAGGGACAGGAGCAGTAGAAACACCTCTGACTTGACAATACAAACTTCTAGACACTAGGTTAATTTCTACCATTTTCTCTGTAACTTGGGGTAAAATATATAACCTTCTTTCATATCAGTTTCCTAATAAATAAATAATATATTTGGACTAGATAACCTCTTATAAACCTTCCAATGTAAATAGTATATGATTCTACACTAATCTAGGTCACTGTGAGTTTAGCATTTTGCTCTCCTTACAATTGTAGAATTATCTGTAAGGACTTAAATCACCTGTTCTTTCCCATTCTTACTGGGTATCTGAAGGATCTGTGATCATCTGGAGTCTTCCCCAGGTACTTAGAGGCCCCTATGATTAAATCCATTTGAAGAGCTTTCTTCTGGAGTCTTACAAGGATTGATTTGTAGTAAGATAACACACAATGAACAAAAATAACCAGTATTATTTTTCAAGTGACTGTTATATTTCAGTTTCTATCTCAGGTCCCTTGCATGTATTATATAATTAAATGCAACATCCCTAAAACACAGGCATTTTTATTCCCGTTTTACAGATGATAAAACAGATCTCCCGGGGTTTCGCTGTGTTGGCCAGGCGGTCTCCAGCCCCTAACCGCGAGTGATCCGCCAGCCTTGGCCTCCCGAGGTGCCGGGATTGCAGACGGAGTCTCGTTCACTCAGTGCTCAATGGTGCCCAGGCTGGAGTGCAGTGGCGTGATCTCAGCTCACTACAACCTACACCTCCCAGCCGCCTGCCTTGGCCTCCCAAAGTGCCGAGATTGCAGCCTCTGCCCGGCCGCCACCCCGTCTGGGAAGTGAGGAGTGTCTCTGCCTGGCCACCCATCGTCTGGGATGTGAGGAGCCCCTCTGCCTGGCTGCCCAGACTGGAAAGTGAGGAGCGTCTCCGCCCGGCCGCCATCCCATCTAGGAAGTGAGGAGCGCCTCTTCCCAGCCGCCATCACATCTAGGAAGTGAGGAGCGTCTCTGCCCGGCCGCCCATCGTCTGAGATGTGGGGAGCACCTCTGCCCCGCCGCCCCATCTGGGATGTGAGGAGCGCCTCTGCCCGGCCGAGACCCCGTCTGGGAGGTGAGGAGCGTCTCTGCCCGGCCGCCCTATCTGAGAAGTGAGGAGACCCTCTGCCTGGCAACCACCCCGTCTGAGAAGTGAGGAGCCCCTCCGCCCGGCAGCTGCCCCGTCTGAGAAGTGAGGAGCCTCTCCGCCCGGCAGCCACCCCATCTGGGAAGTGAGGAGCGTCTCCGCCCGGCAGCCACCCCGTCCGGGAGGGAGATGGGGGGGTCAGCCCCCGCACCCGGCCAGCCGCCCGGTCCGGGAGGGAGGTGGGGGGGTCAGCCCCCCGCCCGGCCAGCCGCCCCGTCCGGGAGGTGAGGGGCGCCTCTGCCCGGCCGCCCCTACTGGGAAGTGAGGAGCCCCTCAGCCCGGCCAGCCACCCCGTCCGGGAGGGAGATGGGGGGGTCAGCCCCCCCACCCGGCCAGCCGCCCGGTCCGGGAGGGAGGTGGGGGGGTCAGCCCCCCGCCCGGCCAGCCGCCCCGTCCGGGAGGTGAGGGGCGCCTCTGCCCGGCCGCCCCTACTGGGAAGTGAGGAGCCCCTCTGCCCGGCCAGCCGCCCCGTCCGGGAGGGAGGTGGGGGGGGTCAGCCCCCCCGCCTGGCCAGCCGCCCCGTCCGGGAGGTGAGGGGCGCCTCTGCCCGGCCGCCCCTACTGGGAAGTGAGGAGCCCCTCTGCCCGGCCAGCCGCCCCGACCGGGAGGGAGGTGGGGGGGTCAGCCCCCTGCCCGGCCAGCCGCCCCGTCCGGGAGGTGAGGGGCGCCTCTGCCCGGCCGCCCCTACTGGGAAGTGAGGAGCCCCTCTGCCCGGCCACCACCCGGTCTGGGAGGTGTGCCCAACAGCTCATTGAGAACGGGCCAGGATGACAATGGCGGCTTTGTGGAATAGAAAGGCGGGAAAGGTGGGGAAAAGATTGAGAAATCGGATGGTTGCCGTGTCTGTGTAGAAAGAAGTAGACATGGGAGACTTTTCATTTTGTTCTGCACTAAGAAAAATTCTTCTGCCTTGGGATCCTGTTGATCTGTGACCTTACCCCCAACCCTGTGCTCTCTGAAACATGTGCTGTGTCCACTCAGGGTTAAATGGATTAAGGGCGGTGCAAGATGTGCTTTGTTAAACAGATGCTTGAAGGCAGCATGCTCCTTAAGAGTCATCACCAATCCCTAATCTCAAGTAATCAGGGACACAAACACTGCGGAAGGCCGCAGGGTCCTCTGCCTAGGAAAACCAGAGACCTTTGTTCACTTGTTTATCTGCTGACCTTCCCTCCACTATTGTCCCATGACCCTGCCAAATCCCCCTCTGTGAGAAACACCCAAGAATTATCAATAAAAAAATAAATTTAAAAAAAAAAAAAAAAAACAGATCTCCATTTTATAGATGAAAAAATGTTGCATTTTACAGATGCAACATCCCTACAACATAGGCATTTTTATCCCCATTTTACAGGTGATTAATACAGAAATGAATTAAGCAACTTGCTAAGGACAGTGAGTGAATTCAGCACTTTGGAATCTATGTTTTTGAATGAGCAAGTGATTGAGAAAAGGAAGAAATTAAAAAAAATGAACCAAATCTCTTCCAGTAAGAAAAGTAGTTGATGAAAGCATATTTTCAAAGCATAGAAAATTTATTTGTAGTGAATTTGAAGACTCTCTGGACCCCTATTCTTCACTTCAACCAAACCTATTCCTTAGAGATGATTCTTGCAACTCATACCAGATTTTCTACATCAGAATTCTAGGAGTGAAACACCAGTTTATTATTTTTAATGAACAGAGTAGGTGATTCTTATGCTCAATATAATTTGAGATCCATTAATCTAATCATTTTGTTTCTTATTCTTTTTATTTTTTCCTACACTTCTTTCCCCCATGCAGCTTGATTCCACTTCCCTGTTTACATGACTTGGAAGAAATACTTTATTATATTAAAAGATCTCTTGCCACTACACGTATTCAACATTTTGTCCATTCTCCTTTAGTTACATCATTTTACAAAAAGTTGAATCAATATCACCAGCCATGTCTTGTTCCTATGCCTGATCTCATAGATGTCATTACATTAATCATCAGTTGGAAGAGTGGACCCTATTAGTAAGCTGTGGTCACCAACTTACCTGTATTCTCAGAAATATTGTATGCATTCTTAATCTATTCTCTTCCACTGTTTATAAATTTTAATGCAAAATATTTTCCATTCTCTATAAGCCTTCTCTGTCTTTACCAGCCTATTTTTTTCCTCTGAAAGTTCTATGCTTGATCACGAACCTGAAACTCAGCCCACATTGCTCCCTCTGCCTGGAGTGCCCAGCTCTGCCCTTACTTTCGTAGATCATATCTACCTAAATTTTGTATTCATTTTAAATATTTCCTCCATGTGAAATATTTCCTGACATCTTCAGGTAGACTTAACTTCTTTGTTCTTTGAACTCCCATTAAGATTTCTATCATAACACCATATTTATCATCCAACCTGGGGCACTTTAGAAAGTGAAAGTATGCTAGCAAAAATTACATTAATCCCATAAGTTTAAATTGGAATTGTCCTGAGAAAATTGGAATGTGTGGTTCCTTTATTTGTAACTTTTATGTATGTGTTTACACGACTATCTTCTCCTATTAAGATTGGCATTGATAGTTGCCATATTTACCATTTTACCTCCAATTTCTAGCATACTTCCTGGTTGGTTGAGTGATGAGTAAATGCACATTGAGCTCATAACAAGCATCCAAAGGAAAAATAAATTACAGGGGTCTAGGCTCACTGTGGATCAGGTTGGTGAGGTTTTGTTTTTGTTTTTCTTTTTTGCAGTTCCTATTCTGTTCATCCACTTTCTCGCCCTTTCCCTCTACTTTGGCATAGTACACATTCTGCTCATTCTTTCTCATTCTGTTTTGTTATTTGCTCTTGGGCTTAGATCAGGAGTTGAAAAAGATATAACCAGAGATAACTCATAAATGTCAAATAAAAATGTTTTCTCTTGAGGGATTTTATAACATTGAGTATTTTCTTACTTTTGTTCTCCTTTGCCAAGTATTTTGGAAGATCAAAGATGTTTTCCTCAAAATTGCTTTACCTAAACGTCTTTGTTGCTTCAGTTGCTTTAAAGTAAAATTGTCTAAAATCTGCTGTTGATCTTGGTCTCCTAATGCATTGACAGTCATGTCAAGCTCAGTGAATAATTATGAAATAACTTTAATTGCTGACTTTTTTCCCCTCTCTTTTCATGCTATGGTACCTTCCTCCATTCACCCATTTGGCATGCGTTGAGTGCCCACTGAAGGTAGGAGGCTGTTATAGGTGCCAGGGATTCAGAGAGGAATGAGACATTGGCCTTGCCCTCAATTATTACAATCAAGCAAGTAGCTGCTCCTGATGGTTTAAGCCACTCACCCCAAAACACTGCTTTAATCTATTTTGGGCCTCACATTTCATGTGTTTCTCCTCCCACCCTCCCCACACATTAAAAACATACCCATCATCTGGACCATTTGTAAAAAATTTCCATAAGCAACAGTAAACTCACGGTAATTACGAAGAATGCATTCATTTAAAGGAAGGTAAGGTACTCTGACCAAAAGACTATATTAAACAATATAGTAGCTGTCTGGTGATTGGGGGCTAAGAGGAGAGACAGAAGGATGTGATTCCCAAGGGGTACAAGGAAGCTTTTAGGGATCGTGAATATATTCATTATTGTGATTATGGTGATGTTTTCATAGGCATATACCTAAGTCAAAACATGATAAATTTTACAGTTTAAATACATCTAGGTTATTGTATGTCAATTTGGCATCAATAAAGCTGTCAGAATACTGTGGCTTAAATAAGATGGGTGTTTATTTTTCTCTCATATAAAAGTGTGTTTTGTAGTTTGTCATGGAAGTTCTCCTCCTGAGATCATTCATGGACCCAGATTCATTCCATCTTTTTGATTCTTCATCTCCATAGGGTGTTGTCTTCATGTGCAGTCAATGTCAGTTATCAGCTATATCTTCTGGCATACTCCATGAGAAGGAGATAAAAACAAACTCCAGAATAAATGAGTGATCTTTAGTCATAGCTGATGTGGAAGTTGTATTTTCCCTTCTAGTCATATTATTTTTCCCAAATTTAATTACGTAGCCACACCCATCTGTAAAGAAAACTAGCAAATATAGACTCTAACCAGATGGTTTGTGTTCAATTAAAACTCCATTAGAAAATCAGAAAATAAGAATATAATTTTGGGAGACAAGTAGCAATCTGCCACAGTAACTTTATTTACTGAGTGCATAATCTGTGCTAGCCCCTGTGATAATTGCTTTATCATATTACCTAATTAGCTCTTTTTAACCCTTCTATGAGAAAGAGGGTATCACTGGCTTTACTTAACAGATGTGTAAACCACATTGGGACACGAAGGTTGCATGTTGCATAATTTCATGGTCATTATTCATATAGACTATGTAATGCATTTTGCCCCTGGTGTTGTGCAATAGTTGGTCTTCACAACTGAGTTCTGTGGCCTTCTCTAGGGCTTAGCAAAATTTATGAACGTTCCTAAATTACTTGCACAACTGGCAAGTGGCAGAGCTGGGATTACAACCTAGAAGGCTGCAGAGCTTGTGCTCTTAGTAGCCATGCTAAATTGTGTGCTGACATATTAAGCAGTGACAGTGGCTTAATGTGTTAGCCCTCTCAGGTTAAAAAATTGAGCCTTTATAGAGGAAAACTCTACTCACATGCTAGATCAGTGGTTGGCAATTTTTTTCTATAAAGAACCAGAGAGTAAATATTTTAGGTTTGTAGCCCATATGGTCTCTGTCACAGATATTCAACTCTACCATTGTAGCATGAAAGCATCCATAGACAATATGTAAATGAATGAGAATGGCTGCGTTCCCATGAAATTGTATTTTCAAAACAGGCACTGGGCCAAATTTGGCTCACAGGAAGTATTCTATTGACTCCAGATTAGAAAGGAATTTTAAGCCAATGCAGGGTATATTAGGGCAGGTTGGTATTTTGGGTGTTCCTCATGTACATTGCAAATGACTTTTATCTACATGTGCTGCCATCTGGATTTACTGCTAACCCATAGGGAAATAGAAGCCATAGGCTGGCATTTGAGCTGCTGCTCTGAGTCATTCTACTTTGTACTCAAAGAGCTTAACTCTTAAATTTTAATTTCTAGATTTTAAATATTACCATGCAGAAACTGTTTTCTTTCTCTAAATATCAAGAGACTAGTGAAAGAAATTAAAATTCCAAAGAGATTGAGATAATAGAAATTACTTTCCTATTTTTTTTAATCAGGTGCCATCCCTTCCCGCATACCCTGCACTCTATATCCTGAATTCTTCATCATATCTTCAGCAGACCATGCCCTCTCATGCTTCCTCCAGGCCTTTGCATTGCCATTTCCTCAAATTAGACTCTTTCTCTCATCTCTTCTTGGTCAATACACAACCATCTTTTAAGGACTAAGGCAAATAGCACTTCTACTCTGAAGCTTCTATTGCTCACCCTCTTCTTGCCCCTAACAGCAGATTACTTTTCCCTTATCTTCACTTCTATAGAATTTTTAATTTTATCATTGAGTTAACCATGCATTTGTCTGTCCTCCTGATGAAGGGTTAACATCTTTGAGAAGTAGAAATATGATTGTTCATTTTCATCTCTTTTACACCTGGGATAGTGCCTGGCATATAATAAAAACAGCCAATGCTGCTGAATAAATGAATGAATAATTTGTACTTAGCAAAGTGCTGTTGTGTATTGGTGACATGGATGTAGTCATGATTGATAAATATTTATTAAATAACTTAGTTAAACCACATAGGGGCACAAATGTTGCTTCTATTCTAGATGAGATACTATTCTTTATTAAAAGGGATTGAAATTTTGAGGATTAATAAATGATATGGTGAGCTCGTCACTTTTCCTTTTTTCAATAAAAATTCTATATAAGGGGTCAATTTGCTTTGCTTTGCTGTTTAAAACCCATGAGTGGTTACTCATTTCCACTCAGATTAAGAGCCAAACTCTTTAGCACAGTGGTTCTCAACATGGCCGCACATTAGTACCACCTGGGGAGCTATTGGGAGATGCCCAGGTCATGCATGGGCACCAACTCAGACCAATTAAATCAGGAACTCTGGGAGGGGGATCCAAGCATCAGAATGGTTTGATGCTCCCTAGGTAATTACAATAGGCAGCAAAGGCTGAGAACCACTTAGCATAACCTGCAGTTATAGTTCTCACATGTGGTTGTTCCCCATGATAAAAACTTTAAATTTTAACTCTAATGTATTTGGAAGCAACCTTATCTGCTTGTATCTCACAGGGATCACTGGATACTGCAAGGCAATATAGATGGTAGACGGGCAAGAGTGGAAGGTCAGTGGACGAGTTAGGTGGCTTTTGATAGAGTAAGTTATAATTGTAACAGTCAATGAATCTAGGAAAAAAACATATTATATACTTAATTCCCAGTTACCCATATGATTCAGTTAATGAGACAAGGTCACTTTTAGAGCACTACAGTAAATTACAGTTTTATTGTACATATATGTCACATTTGTTATGCTATATATTGCTTTTAAATGTTTGAAGGACCAGGTGTCAAAAGCTTTATGTAATTCTGTCTGACTTGCAAACATCTCACATATGTAATCTGAGATAGCCACTGACTTGTAAACTTTTATAGTGCATTTTAAAGCATATAAAATGTAATAGGATTTTGAATAATCACTTTCATTTAAAATTTCATAATTAATATGCACACAAATTAAAGTTTATTAAGAAGTAAATGCCTAATGAGCAGTGGGGCAAAATAAAGTGTTGCTGAATTAAGAAAGAAGCATTTTTATTACACATTTCATTATATTTCAGTGCTGTTGTGTGACTTTTGCACTTCAGTGCTTCCATCAGGTCCTCCAAATTCTTAAAAGCCTGCCAAGATGTGTCATGTAGCTGCTTCATGTTCTTCTGTCCAAACCTAAATGAAGCTTTGTTTAACTGAAATCCCATTATGGGACATTGAATGTACCACCCATTTATTCACCAAGGAAATATCTATTGATCACCTACTTTGTGTGCTACATTGTAGTAGGTCCTGCCATTGATAAAATTAGCATAACCTCTTCCTTAATGGAAAATGGAAGCTAAAGGATCTGAAATCTAGTAAATTCATGCATTCAACAAACATTTATTGAGCCTCTACAGTATTCAAAGCATTTTTCTAAGAGTTTGGAGACTTGGCATTGAATGTAACATGGGGAAAAAAGACTGGTCAAGTGACATGATGACAGAGTGAAAGCAAGTATGTGAATTAGTGGTCTATAAAGTCAAAAGTGTTATGTATCATAAGGCACCAGCAGATTAAGTGCTATGGGAGAACAGAGAAGGGAGAGATTACATCAACTGGAGAATTGCAAGGAACCAGGGACTTCATGAAGGGCAAGACATTGTATATGGACCCTGAAGCATGTGAAAGATTGTGTATTCAAAAATAAGTGAAAATATGTTTCTTTCTAAAGCACTTACATGAGCAAAGGCAAGAAGGTAAAAAAGCACAGAATTAAAGTGTAACTGTGTATAACTCTAACAAAAATGTGTTACTCAAAATGCAGTTTTTCCTCACGGGCACAGTGCCTTTACTTGATTAATAAGTCCATGGTGAATGACAGTCTCTTGGAAAGTTTGGCACTTCAAGAAAACGGACTGTGATTACAAAATGGCCATCCTCCAAAACACGATATGTTCAGAATTAAGAAAAGCCTGCTCCATCTCTCCCAACTTGTCAATTGATAAGTCTAGGTTTGCTTCATTTTGAGTTGCTTACCATAACCTAATAATTATCTTGCAGTGAGTTGTTTTCCAATTTTGGATTCTTGCCCTTCTTTTCATTTTTGACTGTCCTTCAGTATTGCATTTATCCTTTAAGACAAGGCAGTCTTCTATTTGCTTTTGTACTGTATAGTTAGCCCTACCTGCAGCAGTGAACTGGAGCACTGAATTGGTGTAATTGTGCGGCATTCCACACAGAGCTTATAGCTGGAACATGTTTCACCTCCAGGTAATCATAATAGCTACCTTCGCAGTATTTTCTATGTGCCAGGCACTCTATAGCAAACCTGACATCCATGACTTAACATATTTAATCCTCATCTCAGCCAGGTGAAGTAAATACTGCTATTTGTTTCATTTTACAAAGAAGAACATTAAGCCTCAGGCAGATTAAATGTCTTTGCCTTAGTCACACAATTATCAAAAGATTAAACTGGACTCCAAATCTAGGTCCATCAAAAGACAATGCTCAGATCCACGACATTATGCCATGTCTCATAAGACTGAAAACACTATTCAAAGCTCCACTCATTTGCCTCAGTCCATCTTCAGGTTTAGTGCTAATGGTGCCCAGCCTCCCTTATGGAAACAAGACTTTGATGACCTGCCATAGCTGCTCTATCTGGATTCAGCATCTCTTGAGCAGCAGAATTAAACAGACAGTCTTTAGGGCAATGGACAATTGGGAAGAAGTTTAAAATCTCATCAACAAATTGCTGGCCTGGTTGGGTACAAAGTGCAATATTCTGGCAAAATTCCACAGCAGCAATTGCATGAAGCTCTGGAACACAGCAATCTCAGCAAGGTGAAACCTGAGGTCTGAGGGAAGGGGCCCACTGTACACACCTAGAAACATGACAGCAGTGGACCCCTAGACAAATGACAGGTGGAACAAGTCCATAGATCCATGAAGGAAGAGGTTGTACGATACTAGCACTTTGCTTTTCTGAGCGTAAAATAACAGTATTGCAAATAGAGGACTGATCAATACTTACAGAGAACACTAATAAGGAGCTATAAGAGGAAAAGAGACTAAGTCATGGTGATCATACTAAGAGGAAGACCTTGGCTTGGGATGGAGCATCCTGGGCCAGTGTGCAAAGGAAGGGCATTTGGTGAGCAATTCTGTTTTGCCATTTCCTCGGGTTCCACTCTGCTGGGTATCATGCAATCAGATTGCTCTATGTGGCAAACTGATTTCAAACAGCCCAGTCAGGGTTCTACCATTTCCAATCAATTTCTGAAGAAGCTTAAGTGGCTTTAGAGACAATACAGTTAAGGAAAGAAAAGTTATAGAAAACGAAAAAATAAAATGTTTCCTTGGGAACATATTTTAAGAGTCTGAGCAGTTAGAATAATCATGAAGACATCAGTATTTCCGTGTGAAAGAGGAATTCAGAGTTAATGAAGGAAATACTGGCCCATGTTTGCACTGCAATTATATTTAACTGAGCTAACAACTGTTTACGTATGAGTGCAGTGAGGTCAATCTTAATTTCATGTGAAATTTGGCTGGGAGCGGTGGCTCATGCCTGTAACCCCAGCAACTTGTGAGGTTGAGGTGGGCAGATCACCTGAGGTAAAGAGTTTGAGACCAACCTGGCCAACATGGTGAAACCCTGTTTCCATGAAAAATTCAAAAATTAGCCGGGCATGGTGGTACACACCTGTAGTCCCAGCTGCTCAGGAGGCTGAGGCAGGAGAACAGCTTGAACCCAGGAGGTGGAGGTTGCAGTGAGCTTAGATGGTGCCACTGTACTCCAGCCTGGGCCACAGAGTGAGATCCTGTCTCAAAACAATAAATAAATAAATAATTTAAAAATTCATGTGAAATTCAAGGCTGAAGGAAAATAAAGACCTGGTAAAAGTGTTTTGTTTTTAATTCCTAGAAAACAATATTTTACACCCCCAAATTATTTTAATAAAGTATTAATGAATATATAATACCAACATATTCATATTCCATACCTAAATATAGGAAAAATTATGTGTTTAAGGATATAAATGGGTTACCACAAAATGCTGTTATTTTCTAATAGGATAATTGAAGACCACTTAAGTAGATAAATTTTTTAGGTAATGACTTGGACTGAAGTCTGATTATTTTTATGACTATCGCTAATGCAATACTATGTTTAATATAAAATAATTATTCTTTGATAACATCTCAATAAGTTCTAGGATGAGGTTATTCACAGGTTATTAGGTCTTCATGCAGGTAAAATTCTGTCATTTTATTCTTTGTAAGAACACACAGGGTATCTTAAATGTATTCATTCTAGAAGTATAGAAATTTAGAACTTCAGAGATCTTAGAGAATGATAAAATAGTGAACAAGACACAGATTTGAGCCTCAGGGTTTAAAATATAGTGAAAAATATGGACAAGAAAAGAGAAAAGTCAGCACATGTTTTGGGCATCTAACGTTACTGAGACATCTAACTGAGTGAATGAGGTAGAGATGAGTATCAGATATATTTCAACATCAATGGGCTAGAAATTAGATTGATTTCGGTAGAAAAATGTGCTACAATTCTGGGTATGTACTAAATAGGAAAAATCTAGTTATTCATTCATTAATAATGGCTTTATTTTTCTGACCAGCATCTCTCCAATTTGAAGAAGATGGCAAAACGTTGCCCTTGCATAACATCAGAAGATCCCTAATGTCTGCCTTGAAGAGCTCTCGACAATAGCAGCAATGAACTACAGGCTAGTGGAAAGATATTAACCTACTACTTCCTTCTCCCTTCTGATCCTCCTTCTGTATTCTTTCCTATGTTAAATTATTTAGTTTGAGTTTTATCGTAATGAAATGGGGCATGTCAGGGTCATGAAAATCCTCAGCAGTTGTAGCATAAACATTGGTGAACCACTGTATTTACAATAATTTGATTCATATTTTCTATATATACATTGCCTATGGAAGGGTATTTGTGCATTTTAACTTCTAGCAAATGGGAATTACATATCACATTTGATTACTATTAGATGTGGTAATCAATCCATACATCAGAGAAATATATTCTACTCTCTTAATAGTTATCCCTTGGTCTTAGAAAGGAGCAAGCTAAAATATAAGATGCATGAATAAAAATAAATAGCATGAGGCTGGGCACGGTGGCTCATGTCTATAATCTTACCACTTTGGGAGCCCAAGGCAGGAGGATTGCTTGAGCCCAGGAGTTCGAGACCAACCTGGGCAACACAGTGAGACCCAGACTCTATTAAAAAAATAAATAAATAATTTTTTAAAAAAAGCAATTAGCCAGGCATGGTGACTCATTTCTATGGTCCCAGCTACTAGGGAGGCTGAGGTGGGAGGATAGCTTAAGCTGGGGAAATTTAAACTTCAGTGAGCTATGATCACACCACTGCTATCTAGTCTGGGAGACAGAGTGAGACCCTGTCTCAAAACAAAATAATAATAAATAAATAAATAAATAGCTAGCATGAAAGCAACAATATTGTTTGTTCCATCTGTGTTACTCATAATAACAATGAGAAATACCAGACACCAATAACGCATGCAAAGCTATTTTGATTTTGCATCCTAATTATTTTTAGTGCTGCATAACTCTTTAATAATGGACAACTGGTATAAAACATTCAAAAGACTCTACCATTGTTTATATTTGGATCATAAGCTCTAACAATCTTTGTGTTGGGATTAAACAAGAGAAAATTTATTTCTAAATGGTGTTCCTTTAAAAAAATGATCAAAAGGCATATATGCAAAATGAGCCCATGTAAGTAGCAGAGAATGTCAAAACATTTTTTTTCCAGGAAGAACAGGCATATATAAATTATTTGGCTGAATAGAAATCTACAAGTTATTATCTTTTAAGTCAAAGAAGTGAGGAAAAATGCAAAACCAGAGGACAGCACTTCAAATAAATTAATTCAATTTAATTCAAATTATATATTAAATGTGTATTATGCACTCAGCACTGAGCTCATGTCAACACTTCTCTGTGTCATTTGTTTGGGTGGTTTGGTTTAAAAAGGTCCTACTTCTTCACAGCAGTCTCTCCTGCTTTACAAAAGCAGGAAAGATACTGAGAATAATTTATTGTTGAAGTTCATGGAGAAATTCAAAATAACTGTGAACAACTGTATTGAAAAATAGAAAAATATAATAATAAAACAAATTAGAATGTTCCCTAGTGATACAGTTTTCTATTGAGGTGAAACTATTGTGGACAGGGTAAATCCACTTAAATATTTCCACATCAAGAAAGCACAAGAACTTAAAAGAACTTAAGAGTCTACCACTGAAGCAAAATGACCTGGCATAGATCGTTTTTTCCCCTCATTAGTTAATACATTCTGTTTAATTGGAGTATCATGCTCTTTGATTTAGGCTGCATTTTGTGCATTAATGGGTATTAAAAATCTCAGGTGAATCTCTTCCAGAACTTAGTAGACACTCAAGAAGATTAAAAGCCGAATAGGAAGGAATGGGGCACAAAAGCAAGGATAGGGTAAAGAAAAATGGTTCAAGGCAATTGCTCCAGAAGCCTGAGTTTAATTTTATTGGAGATATTCCTTTTAGTGTGCTGGGAGCTAGCCTTCATCTAAAGGGCAGTCATTGAATGATGATTGGGCCACTTATTGCTATTTTTCCTTATGAAAGTCTTTTGCTGAAATTAGGGAAAACATTTGCTTTTCACAAGAGAGGTATGTTATTTCTTGAAACCTTTGCAGAAATAAAACATAAGTAGCCTGACATTAACAAACGGAGTTTCTTTCCTCTCTGAGCTTCTGCTTTACCATGGATGCCTTTAAAAATGGGCCCATGTTTTTAAATAAAACACACTCATTTTCTAGTATACCATGAACACCTTTAAAAATGGGCCAATGTTTTTAAATAACACACACACACACACACATTTTCTTGTCACTTATTAATTAGTTTAACAAATACTTTAGTACCCCTTCTGGGCCTGGCACTGAGTCAGGCCCTGAAATCAGGGGTGAGCAAGCAGACTTGTGGCTCTGACGGAATGAAAATCTGCGACTGCACTCTGATTAAATGTTCTTGTCCCGGGTTACTCACAAGCCCACACTTGTATTTGTTTTCTTCCTATTCATGTTAAAATTTCCTTCTACATCAGTCTGGTTCTTAGATAATCTATTTTAACATTGGTTGTCTGTCAACCAAGTTTCTTCAAAAAAATTTCGTTGGGAAAATGGAACTAATAGGGTATGGTTTAATTTCCCAAACCTCAGTAGAAAATTAAACTGAATGTACCCTGATTATACTCCTGAGTTTATTTCTCTGGCTGATCTATAAACTCTGCTGAAAGGTAGAATTACTTACTTATGGATCAATAATAAAGTTCAAGAAAGATAGATGTTAATGAAATGGCTGAATATAAAACACTCTGGAAACCTCAATAATGTTGTAAATGTGAATAAAAATATCATATTTTGTGGCGAAGTCTATAAGCAAAAGGAATTGATACAGAGTGCATTTTTAGGTGATCGTTATAAGCTCTACATATTGCCAGACAGTGTTCAAAGTCAGTCAGTTCTTAGAAATATTCTCTCAGCATATTTTATTACTATTACAAAATAGAATTTTAAAATCCTTAAGAGAAATTATACCTTTGCCTCCCGTTGGATACTATTAAAGCATCCTGACATGGATGGGTCTTGAAAACGCCCGAAGTATTAAAAAGCCTTTGTGTATAAGTGAGGATATATTCAGACTGAGACTGATAAAGAAATGTGCATATCCCAATGAGGTGTGGCAGAGTGGTGCCAGGTCATTAATCCTTTCTCATTTCTTTGATTCCCAGTAACCTAAGCTCAGCTGTCCCCAAGAGCCTGTTCCAGAGCTAAAACCATGAGGAGTCCCAGGGATCACTGAGAGAGACTGTCTTAATTTCAGTTCTCTAAAAGAAGACCCTGAGAAAATGGTTTGGGTATAAGTAGTTTATTTGGAAGGTGATTTCTGAAAGTACCAAAAGCGTAGTGGGCAAGTAAATCAGAGAATGGCACAAGGTCAGTAAAGTGGATGTTATCTAGTGGGTGGCCCCTGTGGACAACTGGGCTCAAGTCTACTGAGGACTTATGGGAGATAGGACAGACCATGCCTCAGGGTTACCCAACCAAACGATGAAAAAGTTGGCATTTTTTTTTTCTCTAACACTCCGACTGTCATTGATTTGATGACTGTTTGTAGGACAACAATTTTCTGGCACTTCTGGCTTATATGCAAGCCAAGCATGCTCTCTCAGCCATAAAAATAGGAATAGTCCTTAAGTAATTGCAGTAGGAAGGCTTCATCCTTTAGAGGTGAATTCTGAGGGGGATATGAACAGTAATGTCTGCTATGGAGGCATCATGTAGCTATTTGTTCAGTAAGGTATAATGGAAAAAGAATGGATTAGAGCTGGATAGACCTGGGTTTAAATCTTGATTTATTTGCTTATTAGCTATGTGACCTTGGTAAAAGTTTTAAACTCCTTTTGCCTCAGTTTCTTTGTTTATAAACAAAGACAGTGCCTGCATTAAAGGGTAGTTGTAAAGATTAAATGGGACTATGGATACACAGGTTAACACAGAGTTAGGTACTCATTAGTGCCTAATTAATAGAAGCTTGTTGTTTATTTATTAATATAGTAAATATTTAATAAGTACCTACTAAGTTCCAGGTCTGTGGTAGATGTGAAAGACATAGAGGTGAATGAAAACTGTGTCAATCATGTAGGTTATGGTCCACTGCAGGAGATATACAATGGGTAAACACATTAATATTTAACCTGCTATTATTCTAAAGAGCATTTTTTGTGCCCTTAGCAGAAAAAAATACTACTACTCACCCATACCTCTCTACACTTTTTAGGACACTTGTTTTTTTGTTTGTTTGTTTGTTTGTTTTCTGCTAGGCCCTCCCCTTACCTCTTGCTGGGGCTTGATGATGCCTCTCTGCTGCTCAAGGCCCCTCCAAAAGCCCACCCCTCACAGAGCAGTTCTTCAGCAATGTCCCTAAAGTAGAGTTCTCTCTACCCTCCCTTCTCTCAAAATATGTACAATGGGATTTATTGTTTAGGAAAAAACTTTCAGCTTATTTATCCAACCAGAAAAGTTTGGAGATTCTAATTAAGGTGTCAATAGATGATACGAATTAATGCATTACCTTCTCTACAGAATATTTTGTCTTTAGAATTTCATGTTAGTAGTAGGGGCTATTTTTTAATTTTTTAAACTTTAAAATGTTTTTTTTAATTTTTAATTTCTGTGGGTATATAATCATTGTATATATTTATGAGACACATGAGATATTTTGATACAGAAATGTAATGTGTCATAACATCAGGGTAAATGGGGTATATATCAACTCAAGCATTTATCTTTTGCGTTACAAAAAATCCAATTATGTTCTTTTAGTTATTTTAAAATGAATGATTAAAATATTATTGAATACATTTACCCTATTGTGTTCTCAAATACTAGGTCTTATCCATTTTTCCTATTTTTTGGTACCCTTTTACCATCCCCACCTCCTCCAAACCCTCCCACTAACCTTCACAGTCTCTGCTAACCATATTTCTACTCTCTATATCCCTGAGTTCATTTGTTTTAAATTTTAGCTGCCATAAATAAGTGAGAACATGTGAGGTTTGTTTTTATGTGTCTTGCTTATTTCACTTAATAGAATGACCTCCAGTTCCATCCATGTTTTTGCAAATGACAGAACCTCATTCTTTTTATGGTTAAATAGTACTCCACTGTGTATAAGTACCACATTTTCTTTATCCATACATCTATTGATGGATGCTTAGGTTGCTTCCAAATCTTGGCTATTGTGAATAGTGCTACAACAAACATGGGAGTGCAGATACCTTTTCAATATATTGATTTCCTTTCTTTGGGGTATATACCTAGTAGTGGGACTGCTGGTTCATATGATAGCTTTATTTTTACTTTTCTGAGAAACCTCCAAACTGTTCTCCATAGTGGTTGTACTAATTTCCATTCCCACCAACAGTGTCCACGAGTTTCCTTTCTCCACATCCTCATCAGTGTTTGTTACTGCCTGTCTTGTGGATATAATCCATTTTAATTTGGGTGAGATGACATCTCTTTGTAGTTTTGATTTGCCTTTCTCTGAAGATCAGTGTGATGTTGAGGACTTTTTCACAAACCGGTTTTGCCATTTGCATGCCTTCTTTTAATAAATGTCTACTCAGATGTTTTGCCAATTTTTAATCACATTATTAGATATTTTTCTATAGAGTTGTTTGAACTCCTTATATGTTCTAATTATTAATCCCTTGTCAGATGAGTAGTTTGTGATCATTTCCTCCTATTTTATCGGTTGTCTCTTCACTTTGTTGATTGTTTCCTTTGCTGTGCAGAAGCTTTTTAACTTGATGGGAACCCATTTGTTTGTTTTTACTTTGATGCCTGAACTTGTGGGGTATTACTTAATAAATCTTTACCTACTCCAATGTCCTGGAAATTTTCCAGGACGTTTTCTGATAGTAGTTTTGTAGTTTGAGGTCTTAGATGTCTTTAATCCATTTTAATTTGATTTTTGTGTATGGCAAGAGATAGGGCTCTAGTTTCATCCTTCTGCATATGGATATCTAGTTTTCCCAGCACCATTATTTATTGAAGAGACTACCTTTTAGTCAGTGTATTTTCTTGGAAACTTTGTCAAAAATGAGTTCACTCTAGGTGTGTGGATTTGTTACTGGGTTCTCTATTCTGTTCCATTGGTCTATGTATCTGTTTTTATTCCAGTACCATGCTGTTTTGGTTATTATAGCTCAATAGTATAATTTGAAGTCAGGTAATGTGTTTCCTCCAGTTTTGTTCTTTTTGCTCAGGATAGCTTTGGCTATTCTGGGTCTTTTGTGGTTCCATATACATTTAGGATTTTTTTTTCTATTTCTGTGAAGAATGTCATTGGTATTTTGATAGAGATTTCATTGAATCTGTAGATTGCTTTGGGAGGTATGGACATTTTAATAATATTGATTCTTCCAATCCATGAACATAAAGTATCTCCACTTTTGTGTGTCCTCTTCAATTTCTTTCATCGGTGCTTTATAGTTATCATTATAGAGATCTTTCACTTCTTTGGTTGAGTTGATTCCTAGCTATTTAATTTTATTTTTGGCTATTGTAAATGGGATTACTTTTTTATTTCTTTTTCAGTTTGTTCTATATCTATTGCTGGATACAGAAATGCTACTGATTTTTGAATGTTGACTTTTTTATTATATGTTAAGTTCTGGGGTACATGAGCACAGTGTGCAGGTTTGTTACACAGGTATACATGTGCTGTGTTGGTTTGCTGCAACCATCAACTCGTCATTTACACTAAGTATTTCTCCTAATACTATCCCTCCCCGAGCCCCGAGCCCCCTGACAGGCCCTGGTGTGTGATGATCCCCTCCCTGTGTCTATGTGTTCTCATTGTTCAATTCCCACTTATGTGTGAGAACATGCAGTGTTTGATTTTCTCTTCTTGTGTTACACTCAAAACTGCACAACTACATGGAAACTGAACAACCTGCTCCTGAATGACTACTGGGTACATAACGAAATGAAGGCAGAAATAAAGATGTTCTTTGAAATCAATGAGAACAAAGACACAACATACCAGAATCTCTGGGACACATTTAAAGTAATGTGTAGAGGGAAATTTATAGCACTAAATGCCCACAAGAGAAAGCAGGAAAGATCTAAAATTGACACCCTAACATCGCAATTAAAAGAACTAGAGAAGTAAGAGCAAACAAATCAAAAGCTAGCAGAAGACAAGAAATAACTAAGATCAGAGCAGAACTGAAGGAGATAGAGACACAAAAAAACCTTTCAAAAAATCAACGAATCCGGGAGCTGGTTTCTTGAAAAGATCAGGAAAATCGATAGACTGCTAGCCAGACTAATAAAGAAGAAAAGAGACAAGAATCAAATAAACGCAATAAAAAATGATAAACGGGATGTCACCACTGATCCCACAGAAATACAAACTACCATCAGAGAATACTATAAACATCTCTATGCAAATAAACTAGAAAATCTAGAAGAAATGAATAAATTCCTGGACACATACACCCTCCCAAGACTAAACCAGGAAGAAAAGTCGAATCTCTGAATAGACCGATAACAGGTTCTGAAATTGAGGCAATAATTAATAGCCTACCAACCAAAAAATGTCCAAGACCAGACGGATTCAGAGCTGAATTCTACCAAAGGTACAAAGAGGAGCTGGTACCATTCCTCTGAAACTATTCCAATTAATAGAAAAAGAGGGAATCCTTCCTAACTCATTTTATGAGGACAGCATCATCTTGATACAAAAACTTGGCAGAGACACACACACAAAAGAAAATTTTAGGCCGGGCATGGTGGCTCACGCCTGTAATCCCAGCACTTTGGGAGGCCAAGGCGGGTGGATTACGAGGTTAGGAGATCGAGGCCATCCTGGCTAACATGGCAAAACCCCGTCTCTACTAAAAATACAAAAAAGAAAAAAAAATTAGCCGGGCATGGTGGCGGGCGCCTGTAGTCCCAGCTACTCGGGAGGCTGAGGAAGAAGAATGGCGTGAACCCGGGAGGTGGAGCTTGCAGTGAGCAGAAATCGCGCCACTGCACTCCAGCCTGGGTGACAGAGCGAGACTCTGTCTCAAAAACAAAAAAAAAAAAAGAAAAGAAAATTTTAGGCCAATATCCCTGATGAACATCAACACGAAAATCCTCAATGAAACACTGGCAAATTGAATCCAGCAGCACGTCCAAAACTTACCCACCACAATCAAGTTGGCTTCATCCCTGGGATGCAAGGCTGGTTCAACATATGCAAATCAATAAATGTAATCCATCACATAAACAGAACCAACAACAAAAACCACATGATTTTCTCAATAGATGCAGAAAAGACCTTTGACAAAATTCAACAGCCCTTCATGCTAAAACCTCAGTAAACTAGGTATTGATGGAATGTATCTGAAATAATAAGAGCTATTTATGACAAACCCACAGGCAATATCATACTGAATGGGCAAAAATTGGAAGCATTCCCTTTGAAAACAGGTACAAGACAAGGATGCCGTTTCTCACCACTCCTATTCAACATAGTATTGGAAGTTTTGGCCAGGGCAATCAGGCAAGAGAAAGAAATAAAGGGTATTCAATTAGGAAAAGAGGAAGTCAAATTGTCTCTGTTTGCAGATGACATGATTGTATATTTAGAAAACCCCATCGTCTCAGCCCAAAAACTCCTTAAGCTGATAAGCAACTTCAGCAAAGTCTCAGGATACAAAATCAATGTGCAAAAATCACAAACATTCCTATATGCCAATACCAGACAAACAGAGAGCCAAATCATGAGTGAACTCCCATCCACAATTGCTACAAAGAGAATAAAATATATAGGAAACCAACTTACAAGGGATGTGAAGGACCTCTTCAAGGAGAACTACAAACTACTACTCAAGGAAATAAAAGAGGACACAAACAAGTGGAAGAACATTCCATGCTCATGGATAGGAAGAATCAATATCATGAAAATGGCAATACTGCCCAAAGTAATTTATGGATTCAATGCTATCCCCATCAAGCTACCACTGACTTTCTTCACAGAATTGGAAAAAACTACTATAAATTACATATGGAACCAAAAATGAGCCCTCAAAACCAAGACAATCGTGGGCAAGAAAAACAAAGCTGGAGGCATCACACTACCTGACTTCAAACTATAGTACAAGGCTACAGTAACCAAAACAGCTTGGTACTGGTACCAAAACAGATATATAGACCAATGGAACAGAACAGAGGTCTCAGAAATAACACCACACATCTGCAACCATCTGATCTTTGACAAACCTGACAAAAACAAGCAATGGGGAAAGGATTCCCTATTTAATAAATGGTGCTGGGAAAACTGGCTAGCCATATGCAGAAAGCTGAAACTGGATCTCTTCCTTACACCTTATACAAAAATTAACTCTAGATGGATTAAAGACATAAATGTATGACCTAAAACCATAAAAACCCTAGAAGAAAACCTAGCCAATACCATTTAGGGCATAGGCATGGGCAAAGACTTCATGACTAAAACACCAAAGCAATGGCTACAAAAGCCAAAATAGACAAATGGGATCTATTTGAATGTTGATTTTATATCCTGCAATTTTATTGAATCCATTTATCAATTCTAATAGTTTTTTTGGTGGAGTCTTTAGTTTTTCCCAAATATAAATTATATTATCTGTAAACAACAATAACTTGATGTCTTTCTTTCCAATTTGGATGCCCTTCATATCTTTCTCTTGTCTGATTGTTGTATCTAGGACTTCCAGTACTCTGTTAAATAACAGTGGTGAAAATGGGCATCCTTATTGTGTTCTAGAACTTACAGAAAAGGCTTTCAGGTTTTCCCCAGTCTTTTGATACTAACTTCAGGTCTGTCATATATGGTTTTTATTATGCTGGGGTATGTTCCCTTTGTACTCATTTTTTGTTATTTTGAGACAGGATCTTTCTCTGTCAGCCAGGCCCAAGTGCAGTGGTTCGTCATGGCTCACTGCAGCCTCAACCTTCCACGCTCAGGTGATCATGCCACCTCCAACTGCTGAGTGGCTGAGACCACAGGCACGGGCTACCATGTCCAGCTAATTTATTTTTATTTTTAATTTTTTGGTAGAAACTGGGTCTTGCCATGTTGCCCAGGCTGGTCTCAACCTCCTGTGCTCAAGCAGTCCTCTCACTTCAGCCTCCCAAAGTGCTGAGACTACAGGCATATACCCAGTTTTCTTAGGGTTTTTATTGTGAAGGGATGTTGGCTTTCATCCAATGCTTCTTTAGCATCAGTGGAAATGATAATATGTTTTTTTTTTGTCTTTTATATCGCTGAGAGGATATACCACATTGCTGATTTGTGTATGTTGAACTGTCCTTGCCATTTGGAGTAAATCCCATTTGGTCATGATGAAAGATCTTTATAATATGTTGATGAATTCAGTTTGCTAATATTTTGTTGAGGATTTTTGCATCAATATTTGTCAGTGATATTGGCCTGTCGTTTTCTTTGCTTTCCTTTCTTTCTTTTTTTTTTTTTTTTTTGATGTGCCTTATTCTGGTTTAGGTATCAGGTAATACTGGCCTTGTAAGGTGAGTTTGGAAGTATTCCCTCCCCCTCTACTTTTTTGGAATAATTTCAGAAGGATTGGTATTAGTTCTTCTTTAAATACTTGATAGAAATCATTTCTGCTTTGATCTTTATTATTTCTTTTCTTCTCCTAATTTTGGATTTGGTTTGTTCTTGCTTTTCTAGTTCTTTAAGATGCTTTTTTAGGTTTTTTATTGAGAATTTTTCTTATGATGTAGCAACTTTTAGTGATAAACGTTCCTCTTAGTACTGCTTTCATAGTATTTCATAGCTTTTGATATGTTGTAGTTCCCCTATCATTTGTTTCAATAAATTTTTCAATTTACTTCTTATTCATTGACTCTCTGGTCATTCAGGAGCATATCATTTAATTTTCATGTGTTTGTATAATTTCCAAAATTTCTCTTGTTATTGATTTCTAATTTTATTTCATTGTGGTCAGAGAAGATGCTTGATATTATTTAATTTTTTGGAGCATTTAAAGGCTTGTTTTGTGACCTAACAGATGTTCTATCCTTGAGAATGATCCATGTGCTAAGGAGAAAAATGTGTATGTTTTCAGACATTGGATGAAATGTTCTGTAAGTAACTATTAGGTCCATTTGGTCTATACTCCAGATTAAGTCCAATATTTCATTGTTAATTTTCTGTCTGGATGCCCTGTCCAATGCTGAAAGTGGATGTCAAAGTCTCCACCTATTATTGTACTGAGGTTTATCTCTTTCTTTAGCTCTAATAACATTCGTTTTATATATCTGGGTGCTCAAGTGTTGGGTATGTATATTTTTACCATTGTTATATCCTCTTGCTGAATTGATCCCTTTATCATTATATACTGACCTTGTTTGTCTCTCCTTATAGTTTTTGTCTTGAAATCTATTTTATCTGACATAAATATAGCTATTTCTGCTCTTTTTTGGTTTCCATTGGCATGGAATATATTTTTGCATCCCTTTATTTTCAGTATGTATATCTTTATAGGTGAAGTGTGTATCTTGTAGGCAACAGATCATTGGGTTGTTTTTAAATCCATTCAGCCACTCTGTGTCTTTTGATTACAGAGATTAATCAATTTACATTGAATGTTATTACAGATAAGTAAGGATTTATTTCTGCCATTTTGTTATTTGTTTTCTGGTTGTTCTGTGGTCTTTCTTTTCATCCTGTCTTCTTTATAATGAAGGTGATATTCTCTGTTGATATGTTTTAATTTCTTTTTCTGTATTTTTTGTGTATCTGTTATATTTTTTTATTTGAGCTTACCATGATGCTTGCAAATACTATCTCATAACCCATTATTTTGAAGTGATGACAACTTAACACTGATTGCCTAAACAAACTAACAAACAAGCAAAAAGAAGACTAATAAAACTTCTACACCTTAACTTCATTTTCCTGCTTTTTAAGTTTTTGTTGTTTCTATTTCTATATTCTTGCACTGTCTACATCTTAAAAAGTTGTTGTAGTTATTTTTGATTGGTCCATTTTTTGTCTTTCTACTTAAGATATGAGTAGTTTACATATCACATTACAGTGTTATAATATTCTGCTTGTCTCTGTATTTATTATTGCCAGTGAGTTTTGTACCTTCAGATGATTTTTTATTGTTCATTAACAATCTTTTATTTTAGATTGAATAACTCTCTTTAGCATTACTTGTAAGATAGGTCTGATGTTGATAAAACCCTCAGCTTTTGCTTTTCTTGGAAAGTCTTTATGTCCCCTTCATGTTTAAAGGATATGTTAGGCAGATATACTCTGCTAGGGTAAATTTGTTTTCCTTCTGCACTTTACATATGTCATGCCACTTTCTCCTGGCCTGTAAGATTTCCACTGAAGAGTCTACTGCCAGACGTATTGGAGCTCCATTGTGTTATTTGTTTCCATTTTCTTGCTGCTTTTAGGATTCTTTCTTTGTCCTTGGCATTTGTGAGTTTAATTATTATATGTCTTGAGGTGGTTTTATTTGGGTTAAATCTGCTTTGTGTTCTATAACCTTCTTGTACTTGAATATTAATATTTTTCTCTATGTTGGAGAGTTCTCTGTTACTATCTTTTTGAATAAACTCTCTACCCCTATTTCTTTATGCATCTCATCTTTAATGCCAATAACTCTTAGATTTGCCCCTTTGAGTCTGTTTTCTAGATCTTGTAGACATGCTTCATTGTTTTCTATTCTTTTTCCTTTTGTCTTCTCTGACTGTGTATTTTCAAATAGCCTGTCTTCAAGCTCACTAACTCTTTTTTTCTGTGTGATCAATTCTGCTATTAAAAGACTCAATGGATTCTTCATTATGTCAATTGCATTTCCACTCTAGAATTTCTGCTTAATCCTTTCTAATTATTTCAATCTCTTAGTTAAATTTATTTGATAGATTTCTGAATTACTTCTCTGTCTTATCTTGAATTTCATTGTGTTTCCTCAAAACAGCTATTTTAATTCTCCATCTGAAAGGTCACATATCTCTGTTTCTCCAGGATTGGTCGCTGAGGCCTTGTTGAGATAGTTTTATCAGTCATGTTTTCCCGGATGGTCTTGTTGCTTGTGGATATTCATCAGCTTCTGAGCTTTGAGGAATTAGGTATTTATTATACTGTTCTTAGTATGGGCTTTTTGTACCCATATTTCTTTGAAGGCTCTTTAGGTATTTGAAGGTATTTGGATGTTGTGATCTAATCCATATCTGCATTAGGGGAAACCTCAACCTTAGTAAGTCCGTGGTTCATGAAGACTCATAGAGGAGTCTTGGTGGTTTTGGCTAAGATCTAGGAGAATTCTTGAATTACCAGACAGAAACTCTTGTTCTGTTCCCTCACTTTCTCCCAAACGAAGTCCCTCTCTCTGTTCTGAGCCACGTGGAGTAGGGATTGGGTGACACAAACCTCCCTGTGGCCACCACCACTGGGACAGTGCTGGGTCATTCCTGAACCCAGCACAGCACTATTTCTCACCCAAGACCTGCTGTGACCACTACCTGGTTACCATGTATGTTCACTGATGGCCCTAGGGCTCTACAATAAGCAGGTGGTGAAGCGAGCCAGGCTTATGTTCTTCCCTTCAGGGTGGTGATTTCCCCCAGGCTCTGGGCAAAGATGTCATCTGGGGGAGGGACTGGAATCAAAAACTTAAGAAACCTACCTAGTATTCTATACTACTCTGGCTAAGCTAACACTCAAACCACAATACAAAGTCCTTCCTGCTCTTCTGTCCCCTTCCCACAAGCAGAGAAACCATCCCCTGGGCCAACACCCCCACAGGCCATTGGGGAGTACTGTCAGGCTATCACTGAAGTTCACATAGGCATGAGGGTTCTTCAGTTAGATTGTAGTGAAGAATGCTGGGCCTGGGACACATTCTTCAGGGTAGTGGGCCCCCCTTTGGCCCAAGGCAGGTCCAGAAATGCCTTCCAAGTGTTGAGGCCTGAAATCCAGGTCCCCAAGAGGCTACTTGGTTCTCTACACCACTGTGACTGAACTGGTACCTAAAGTGCAAGACAAAGTCCCCTTTACTTTTCCCTGTGCTTTTCTAAAGCAGAAGGAATCTCGCCCCATAGCCACATCTGGAACTGTGCTGGGTCTCACCTGAAGCCAGTATGTCTCAGAGTCTCACTGAAGGCCCACAAGGTATTATTGGGATATCAATGCTGATTATTCAGAGCCCATGGGCTCTTCAGTCAGCAGGTGATGAATTCTGCCAGGATTGGATCTTTCCCTTCAAGGCAAGGAGTTTCCTTCTCACCCCATGTGTGTCTAGAAATGTTGTCTGGGAACTGGGGCCTGGAATGGGGGCCTCGTGACTCTGCCCTGTGTTCTATGCTATTGTGGCTGAGCTTGTATCCAAGATGAAAGACAAAGTCCTCTTTACTGTTCTCTCTCCTCTCCTCAAGCAGAAGAAGGAGTCGCTTTCATTGCTGTGAACTGTACTAACTGGGGTGTGAGGAGGGGTGGTGCAGGCACTCCTTTAGCAACTCCAGCTGATGTCTCATTAGGTCATATGCTTGCCAAGTCCACTGGCTCCCAGCTGAGTACAGCTCTAGGGCTTGCCTATGAGTTGCAGTCCTTGTAGCCTAGACTCCCTTTCAAGTTTATTTACAACTCCAGAGCACTTTAGCTCATGGTGTCAAGGCTTGCCAAAGCTCAAGATCTGATTGCTGGGATGAGCCATTCCCCTTTGGCTGTGGCTGGTCTAAATGCTCCCTCGTGGACAGGCATTGGCCGAGTTCAGCCAGGTTTTTCTTTCCGCTGTTACAGGGCTGCCCTGAGTTCAATGCACAGTCCACAGGCATTGTGTTCTCCCTCCTCCAAACCCTCAGAATCTCTTTTCATACCACCCAGTCACTGCCAGGAGATGGGGGAGAAGTGATATCAGTGATTCAAGACTGTTTTTCCTACCCTCTTCAGTGCCCTTTTCAGCAATATGAAGGTAAAACTGGGGCTACATTTTCTCAGCTGTTTTGGTTCTTATGAAGGTGCTTTTATGTGTAGACAGTTGTCAAATTTGTTGTTCATGTTGGGGAGACAATTGGTGGAAGCTTCTATTTGGCCATCTCCTCTGCCCCTCTCATAGGAGACATTATACAAATAAAGAAACTGGAATTTCTAGAGGTTTTGACTTGCTTCAGGTCACACTACCATAAAGAGTGAAGATTGGGATTCAAAATAAAGTCTAACTATGAGGCATGCATATTTTTCTAATGCATGCTACCATCCACCCAAATGTGCCTGAAAGAGCTTCTGGCTCAATTTAGCTACTCAAGTAAGATGATTACATAGCATACCTCAAAGTAGGGAACTGTGGGGAAAATGAGATATCTGGAATGAGTGCTGCATTAGTCTATTCTCACGCTGCTATAAAGAACTACCAGAGACTGGCTGTGATGGTTAATATTGCTTGTCAACTTGATTGGATTGAAGGATACACAGTATTGTTCCTGGGTGTGTCTTTGAGGGTGTCGCCAAAAGAGATTAACATTTTAGTCAGTGTACTGGGAAAGGCAAACCCACCCTTAATCTGAGTGGGTACAATCTAATCAGCTGCCAGCATGGCCAGAATAAAAGCAGGTAGAAGAAGGTGGAAAACTAGACTGGCTAAGTCTTCTGGACTCCGTCTTTCTCCCATGCTAGATGTTTCCTGCCCTGGGACATCAGACTCCAGGTTCTTCAGATTTTGGACTCTTGCATTTATACCAGTGATTTGCCAGGGGCTCTCAGACCTTCAGCCACAAACTGAAGGCTGCACTATTGGTTTCCCTCCTTTTGTGGTTTTGGAACTCAGACTGGCTTCCTGGCTCCTCAGCTTGCAGACAGCCTATTGGACTTCGTGATTGTGAGAGTCAATTCTCCTAATGAACTCCCTTTTGTATATGTATCTATCCTATTAGTTCTGTCCTTCTAGAGAACCCTGACTAAAACACTGGGTGATTTACAAAGATAAGTGGTTTAATTGACTCATAGTTCCACAGGCTGTACCAGAAGGATGGCTGGGGAGGCCTCAGAAAACTTAAAATTATGGCATAAGGTGAAGGGGAAGCAGGCGCATCTTACATGGCCAAAGAATGAGGAAGAAAGAGAAGGGTGAGGTGCTACACACTTTTAAACAACCAGATCTCATGAGAACTCACTCTTATGAGAATAGCAAGAGGGAAGTCCACCCCAGTGATCCAATCCCCTCCCCCCAGGCCCCTCTTCCAACACTGGGGAATACAATTCGACATGAGATTTGGGTAGGGACACAAATCCAAACCGTATCAAGGACCCAAAGTGCTTTTTTTAAAATTTTTGGGTGGGCAGCAGGGGCAACACATCATTCCCTTTTTTAAGCCATTGTGATGCTTAAGAAAGAGCAAATTTTCGGCCGGGTGTGGCCGAATTACAGGCTCACACCTGTAATCCCAGCACTTTGGGAGGCCGAGGCGGGCGGATCACGAGGTCAGGAGATGGAGACCATCCTGGCTAACACACTGAAACCCGTCTCTACTAAAAATACAAAAAAACAAAAAAAATAAGCCGGGCGTAGTGGCGGGCGCCTGTAGTCCCAGTTACTCAGGAGGCTGAGGCAGGAGAATGGCGTGAACCCAGGAGGTGGAGCTTGCAATGAGCCGAGATCGCGCCACTGCACTCCAGCCTGGGCGACAGAGCGAGACTCCATCTCAAAAAAAAAAAAAAAAAAGAAAGAAAGAGCAAATTTTCAAAGGGCAAAGGCATTGTCCAACAGAGATTAATTGTTTTAGGTTGATTTAAGAAAACAGAAGCAAAAACAAAACAAGTTTAGATAGCATGCATCTTTGTAGCTAATGATTGCCTTGTTGTTCAGTTAAATTTGGAGAAGTAAAACTATTTGGCTGAAGACATACAAAGTTAAAAGAGAGACAATATTTCCTGTTAAACAGCAGAGATGTCATCTGGGCATGACTTCCAGACTATCTCACCAAACAGTCATAGAACATGCAAATTGCTGAAAATTGCAGCAGAGTTAGATATCTCAATGCAGCTTGCTGGATAAGACTGAGAAGGCTCAGGAAATGGCTGGGCAAAAGGACATTTTCAAAGAAATGCAGTTTTTTTAGCTTCATGTGCATGTGATAGCTCTATCAACCCAACAGTAGGTGAGAGACAGAATGGCAGACATAGAGAAAAAAAAGTTCAGTCTAAAACCTTGCTCTTGTTTTACAAGTTTTGTGATTATGGGTATGTTTCTTTCACTATTTTCATCCTTAATTTTCTATGCCATCGAGACTATATTATATACTTCATAGAGTTATTACAAAGACTAAACTTGATCATGTAAGCAATTCAGATATTCTTCAACTTTGATTAAAAACAAAGTCAAATAAGCAGTTAATAGGACTTTCGTTTGCTAATACTTTGTTTCCTTGACAATTGTTTATAAATTCTTCAAGTCATGTCTTTCAAGCCATCATGAAATTGTCAAAGCTGTTTCATGCTGTTGGCTTCAGCCTTCTAAGACTGTGAAGCTGCCTATGGCCTCAATTACTCTGAGACTACTCAACTCTTTAGATTTAATAATATTACTGAAGTGGTCAGAAAATGACAGTCACTTTAGGAATGAGCAGAAGGAACTCTCCTCTTCTCTGAGTTGGCTCAGTTAGAAAGGTCCAACATTAGGGTGTCTTGGCTCCCAGACGTTAATTAATGTGTACCATCCATCACTGTTACACATTTCTCCAAAATCATACTTCTTAACTTCTTTTATATCTTACACTCAAAAGAATGCAGATCCAGGATTCAAAGTCCAGTGTTACTCATAGAACCAGAACTCCTAAACACTCATTTCCACTTGCTTAACAATTTGAATGGTCTCTCAGATGAGATATAGCACACAACCCAACCACAACCAAAAACTTGCCAGACCGTACGTCATGTTGGCATGTGATTGCAGGAGGACACGGCTCACTACTGGCCTCCAGTGTCATAGGTAGAACCTCACCTCAACCTCTGTTTATACTTCACGAGTGTCCAGCTTTTGTTAGCCATTGCTAGGGCTCCAACTCTCAATTCAAACCATTTCTTTTGCTATGTTCCTATTGTTTCCAGAAACATTCCCTGCTTCCATTCTTCAAATTAAAGTGACAAACTTCACTGTCTTTACTCATACCTCCTCCTTCCAAAGCTATAATTTTTGCCTTCTTTATTTCTCTACTTTGAGGAGTATTTTAAGTATTAAATTAAATATTAGATACACGAAAGAGCAAAACTGAGGCTCTGCCAGTTATTTTCTTTTCCAGAAACTAAAGCAAATTCCAGGATGAAGTTCAGACACAACGATGCATTTCTACTCTGAGGTAGAAATTCCTACAAAATCTGGGGATAGTTTTGCTGGGTGGAGTTAATTTTAGAGGCACAGGTCAATTCCTTCACACAACCCAGGCACCAGCCACAAGAACCACATACAATGTCAAGGCAGCTACCGTTTGGTTACCTTAGGGTAATTCTGTAGACACTACTTCTCAAGCTCAACTTTGAGATTTTGGTCTTTGTTCTTCCCTTGTTTCCTCTCTTGAATCTTTTAATTGTATGTACCAAAGACCTTCACATTAAGCCAATTTGGACTGATTGCTTAGATATTTGATTCACATCTTCTTAAATATACTGCATCTTTGATCAGTCCCCTAGCTCTCAATCACTATCTTGAGAGACTACCAGGGTAGTAATAGCTACTGTCATTTTTAAATTGTCATATGTGACTATATGCCATGGACTGTTTGACCCACCAATCTCCTTGCTTATATGAACACCCCTCACTCAGCGACCCCTCTGGCTCTTCACTCATTTTTGCCTTATCTCCTTGTCTCCTATTTCTCAGTGTAAGTCAGGAGATGTGGCAACCAAGTATTGTAGAGGTACGCAAGTTTGCTTTTCAGTGAACATCTTGGAGTAGAAGACTTGAATTTTTAGACTTTCTTCACACTCTGACTACATCATCAGATAAAAGGTGCTAATGCCATCCTTCCCCACTCAAGGGTGGTATATACTTATTTTGGTACAGTTCACCCATCACAGTATATGTTTAAAGAAAAATTTTGATTTTCTAAATTAAGATTTTTTGTTCAGGAAATGGCTTACATTTTTTCTTTGTTTGTCTTTCTTAAACTGGAGGGAGCCATACCAACCTCTATCTCCCGATATCTCTCCCAGCTTCCATTTACAGGGCTAATGGCAAATTTGCCCCTCTTTAGGAAGACCACGGTGACTTTCAGATAGAAGGTATTGTCTTTGAGGCTATGGGAGAGGTTGGGAGAAGAACAAGAACAGTGGGACACAGTTCTAGCCATAGAGAAATTTTCAATCTAATGAGGACAAAGAGGGACAAAAGTTTCTGGGTTTCTAGGTAGCGTTAAGAGAGGAGTGTTCCTCCTCCACACTCCTAGTAGTGATAATGATAGAGGACATTTCAAATGATCCTTGAAAAATATGTAGGTAATGACAATTAATACAGATGATACGTTGCTCAGTAAAAATTTAATTCAAGAGATGTGAAATCTCATGCCAAGTTCTTAGCTATTATTCTCTAATTCCTTTGCATAGGACTTAATAGGCAAAAAGAAAAAGAAAATTCTTCCAAAAACAAATCAGTGAAGACTGATTCAGACCTCAGACTATACTCAATTTGAAATAGAAGACACAGCATTTGAAATAGCAAGAGATGGAACTAGAAAAAATATTTGGGACTGATTATCAAAATCTTTGACTGGCTTAACAAGAAATTTGCAAGTATTTTTACTTTATTCCATAAAATTTTTATTGAGCATATACTAAGCATGAGACCTGAAGAATGTGTTAGCGAATGACAGTGTTAAGCAATTAATTGAGCATGGTAAAGTTTGGGAATAATTTTGTTAGAAACAAAAAAAAAAACAAAACAAATTTGAGTGGATTGAAGAAACTAAGTGGAGACAGTGACTTACTATTTTTTTAAAACATGAATAATGGTGGAAATTGTAGAGATAGAAGAGTAGCTTGAGGAGGCTGGAGTGAAGAAATTTGTGTGTAGGTGGGAATTTTGAGTGTGTGTTTGTAGACTAAGAAGTAAAAGAAACTGGGAGGGATAAATTGCATAAATTAGAGTGAGAAAAAATTAAGAAACAATTTTACAGAAGACGGTGAATAAATTGAAGATTATACAGATAGAGAAGGCTTAACCTTAGAACAGAGTAAAACTATTTCTTTACTGAGATTGGAAGGAAGGTGGTAAAGATAGATAAAACTAAAGTTATACTTTTAGGTAGAGGAGGGAAGTTGAGGACCTTTCTATTCAGTTGCTGCTGTTTTTTAAATGAATAAAGCAAGTCATTTGCTGAAACTGGGAAGAGAAAGAATAGCGTGAGATCCTGAGGACAGTTTATGACAATTTCTTTGGAGGCTAAAATTGGGGTTCAGCTAGGGATGTGCAAATGAACTGTTGAGACATATTCTGTGACCAGTTTCACAACTATAAGTAGGTGTGAAAATCACACAAAGAGTTCCATGAATACCACACTGACTGTGATGATAACTGAAAGAAAATAAAATCTTAATGACTTGTGAGCATGTGGAGCATTAGCACAAGGTGGTAAGACAAGTTGAATATTTTTATCTTTCATAAGGGCTGCAGACAAGCCAACATAGCCTGACAGCAAAAGAGAATGCAAGGTGTTATTTCCTTATTATGCACCTCGGAAAGTCAACGGTGCATAATAAGGATGGGTTTGATTTTTTCTGCCTTTGAACGCAGGGTATAGTTTTACAGGTTTGAGTTATGGAGTTTTATATCAACGCAATGCAAACTAGGAGGCTTTTCTGAAAATGACCTTAGGGTATTTCTTATTCAGCACTATTGACCAGTTGAAAACCACCAGAGTCATCAAGCTTTCAAAGCAATTGCCCTTGCATTAAATACCACATCTTTTTCTCTTCCTAATTTTCCTTCATTTCTCCTTCCTTCCTGCCTTTTTGCTCCTGCTAATACAGGCAAAAGTTCATCTTACATTTTAGTTATGGTATTTAGTAATTGCTTAATCCACTAATGCCTACTGGATTATCAGGAGACATTTATATAGCTCTGCTGCTTTGTATTGTGTAGCATCTCTAGATAGTAACATTCATAATCCATCAATAATTATAAAGTAAAAACTGAATGAAGAGCAATGAATACATTAAAGCACCGAAGTTTATACAACTATAACAAAACCAACCCCATTATGACAACTCTAATCCTAGTATATTCCTCATTGCTTATTCAAAGATGATTAAAAAATTAATGCTCAGCTCATATTTGGTGCACATTAGAAATATTCCAGAATTTCTAAAGGATTAATGTCATATAGCTTCTTTCTAGCAAGGATCTGGATTGATAAATCATCTGGTTGACATATAGAAAAAGACAGCAGAATTAAAATGTATTATTAAATGAAGTAGAGCTTGACTAACGACAGAGTAATACAGAAAGGTGTTGAAGAACAATAATTGGGGTTATTGTGTTAAAGATTACAAGGAATCAATATCTTGCAAGGTGAAGGTTACAAAGTTTATGTTAAGAAGAAACATAGATTACTGGCCAGTAATTCCTTAAATTATATACAGTTAGATATTGATGTTTTCATATTGAATTGCTGAGCTGATACTTTAACACCCACCAAGTTGATTCAACATTCTTTCTGTATTTTAGATTTTTCTCTAGGCTAGCCTATTAGACTTAGTGCCCTTCTTTTATAATAATTACTTTCTATGCCGGCTTTACAATTCTGAAATTAATAAATAATAACCTACATATAAAATTTTTTAAAAAATCAATATGCTGCCATAACTGTATCCTAGAGTTGTCATTACTCAATATTTGAAGGGAAATTGGTGTTTTGTCTTATTGCAACAAGAGTTGTTTGTCATTTTGGAAAATCACAAAATCACATCACAATAGAAATGTTGTGTATGGTATTTGAAAATGCAAAACAACTGTAGCAGTCTGATTTTGAAGTCACAAATAGATTCAAGCATTAGACTGCTTCAATCTGTCTTCAAGTGTAGTTATGCAAGAATATTTACATATTGAAATCATATTACATTATATTAAAATATTCCCTTTTATTCTCCTTTATAATTAGAGCATTTCATTAATAAATTTTTGAAATTTTTTGTGCAGATGGGTTATTATCTATTAATTTCAATTTAGAATAGTAATGCAGGCCAGGAGTCCAGTCATCTGAAGAGTCAATTGGGACTGAATGATATGCTTATATGATTATTCAAAGGATTCAATTTCTTGTGGACTGCTGGACTTATGGCCTTAGTTTCTGCAATGTTGGCATCTACAGAGGATCAAGCACAACATGTCTGCTTGATTTCCCTAGGCAATAATAAGGCAGAGAGAAAGAAAGAGGAAATTAGAGGTGAGGTGGGGTGGATGGCAGGGGTGGGGGGAGTGAGGGGGAGGAAGGGAGAGAGAGAAAGAGAGAGACAGAGAGAGAGAGAATGCGTGAGAAAGAACTGCCCACACCATGAAAGATCAGGGGAAAGTGCTAGAGATGGAAACTAAAGACTTTTTGTAATCTAATCTCACAAGTGACATCCCTTTCCCTCTGCCCCATTATTTTCACTAAATACAACTCACTAAAACCAGTCCACACTCAATGAAAGGAGATCACATAAGGGCAAGAAGCAGAAGGTGGAGATCACTGGGGCCATCATAGGGCCTGCATGCTACTACATATGTCTTCTGAGTTTTTTCAAGGCCTTTCCAGAAAAGAAGAGAATGGGGTCCATATCTTCTTTATTCATCTTCTCAGTTACCTTGCACACCTCATGATCCCCTCTTTTCATCATTATTTTCTTTCCTCACATTTCAGTTCAATTCACACCATCAAGCTCCTTTTAAAACATATTTCTTTTCTGCCTTTCTCTTTCAAGTCTTTCATAATAGCTAATAGCCTTAAAAATTCTCTCTCCATTTTGTTCCCTTATTTTTTCCATCTCTCTTCTAGATTTATAAAATATGTCACCATTATAATTTATATATGTTGATAATAAGGAAAATAAAAGAATAACTTCATATTTAGAAGTCACATTCATATAAAGGAAATATAGCCACACTCCCATATTACCATTTCACAAATTCCTTGAAAATTCTCTGAAGACCCCTACAGAATCTGCAAATCATCATTACTTTCCTCATCTTTATCCTATCCAGCATACTCTTCTCTAAGCATTCTCTTTAGAAATAGATATCAAACATCTTATTTGATCTGTTTTGTTTTGTTTAATTTAGTTACCAGAATTAGAATAATTTCTTACATCTTTCAAGGAAAATATTCAATACTTGCTAAAAGAGCCTTGGAGATATTAAGTAACTTAATCATATTTATAATATAACATATTGTAGTGGAATTAGTATTGCTGTAGCAGCCAAAAATCGCGAGGCCTAACTTCAATGCTGCCTATTACTGCTTCAAAATGGGGCCACTCCTTTGCACCGGCTACCAACTTATCCAAATATGGTGAGATAGAACACCCAATGCAAGAATTTACATGAAGCAGGTTTATGAATTACAGATTGCCAATAAGGAACAATAGAAGCCTACTATTCATTGCTAGCTGGTCCCTCGAACCTCAGAAAAGCTTACCAGCATGGATGAAGTCCCAACTGTGTGTTTCTCATTTGCACCACAGCTGAGGGTCCCTGGAAAGATGCCTACATTGGGTTTTATACTATAGGGGAAGAAGACATGCTGGGCTAAAGCACTGACGAACATCCTATTTCTAGGGGAAAAACAAACAGAAGCCAGGGCTTTGCTGGCCAGTCTCTTCCTATCTTTGGATGTTGTGTTCTTAGTACTTTCTTTCTTTCTTTTGTTTTTTTTCTCAGACGGAGTCTCGCTCTGTCGCCCAGGCTGGAGTGCAGTGGTGCGATCTTGGCTCACTGCAAGCTCCGCCTCCCAGGTTCACGCCATTCTCCTGCCTCAGCCTCCTGAGTAGCTGGGACTACAGGCGCCCGCCACCACGCCCGGCTAATTTTTTGTATTTTTAGTAGAGACGGGTTTTCAGCGTGTTAGCCAGGATGGTCTTGATCTCCTGACCTCATGATCCGCCCGCCTCGGCTTCCCAAAGTGCTGGGATTACAGGGGTGAGCCACCGTGCCCGGCTATTCTTAGTACTTTCTACAGTCATTCTGGAGAACGACAAGCAAGAATGGGAGAATTGGGTTGGTCCAAGGCTACCTGGAGAACTGTCCTGCACACATTACCCTGGACAAGTTACATTATCTTTGAGCCTGGATTTGATCACAGATATAAGGAAACCACAGTACCTACATAAACTCCTAAAGGGTTCTTTCCAAGATGGGTGAATAAACAGTTGTGAAGCTACTTTGGAAACTGAAGCATGTTAGACAATCTTAAGGGGTTACTATTATTTGCACCATTGTTTCTATGGAGAAAGGTCTTCCAAGGTCAATATAACATTCATGTATATAAACCTGAGAAAAGTCCATTTGCATATTGGGAATTTTCTATATTTAAAACTTATTTTGATATAGATACTATTGTCTGAGTAATTCACACATAAATCCTGATAAGGAAGTTGTCATGGAAATATTTTTACCCTAGTTACGTTTAAAATTTTTTTGCCTGAATTACTTTTAAAATTAGATTTGTATGCCTTGGAAACAGAGAGGAAAGAGAAGTGGATTTAGAACAAATGTCAGTACAAAGGTTTGACTTCTGTATCACAAGGAATCTGCATAGTGCTGAGTATACAATAGGCAACTAATAAATGTCTTTCATGTAAGGCAGAAGAAGTTTAAAGTCACAACTATATAGCATAGGAAATCTAATATGAAGTATAGGAGAGCTGCTGATTTCTTAGTGAGCTGAGCATCAACAACAAAATGTAGCGGTTAGGCACAGTGAGCTCTCAAGGTAGCCTCCAATATAAACAAATCAATGCCAGTATTTGTTATGCTTCACTCTTCTCATATTTTGAATCAAATCACTTTTGAATACTCATGCACATGATGTGCTCTGTGTATAATGGGGAGCTTTTATATGTTGTTCAGTACTGAGCTTCTCAAAATGCAACTTTACCAACAAAGTTAGCAGAAGAGATGTTGGTAATATATGGTGGTTCTGCAAAATCCAGCATGGTCATTTGTAAAAACTAACGTGAACAACTTTTTAAAATCTGGGCTAAAATTTTAAATACTTTCGATGTTACATATAAAATGCAAGTCTGATTTACTACTCACTTCTGAAAATTCATATTCCAGCTGAGTGCATTCTGCAGGTAGAGAGCAACGAATTAGAAATACTAGTCAAAATAGATGCTAAGAATTTGCCAGCATCATGCCCATTGATTACCACCATCATTATTGACCATCTAATCAATAAAACAGTACGTTGTTCTGGTCCACGCAAATAGGCCTATTACCTGAAAATAAAAAATCCAAAATTAGTTTACAGATACATGATAAATATTGGAGATAAATAAACTTCTCTTTTAATAGATACATATTGAAGTGGGATTAAATCATCTGGAAGTTAACAGGCACAGGAAAGTTTTAAAATTTCTCTGTTTCCTAGAAGTGCTCTTCCTTAGTGTGTTTCTTTTACATTTTCAACTCTTTCCCTCCCTTTAGCCATACATTAAAAATTAATGTTTAAGTTCAATACCTAGCATTGTCTACTCTATATAATCTCTCAAATGCATTCCCATTGTTTAACTTCCATTTACATGTTTATAATACCAAAATTTCTACATCTATCTCAGGCATTTCTCCAGACCAGTATTTCATTGACTCTTACGACTCTTGGCCTAGATATTGCTTCAACCTATCATTCATGTATGTGGACTGAGCACACTTGCACCTACTGCCTTGCTATCTTAGAAATGACAGGGAAGGTACTTTAAAATATAATTAATCTATATTAATGTGGAAGCACAAGTAAATCAGATCATCAATAATATTTGAGAAATTTCTGAAAGGCTAAGCAGATGGTGTGAGATTGACAGAGCATACATTTTGATAGTGAATTCTTGAAAAAGGCCAGAGAAGGTTTTGAGGGTGAGCCAAGTTCAGAGACAAAGAATACAAAGGAGAGGAAGGGTCTAGGGGTAAGTTTGAAAAATTCATTTCAGAGAAGGTAGTAATATTTGGCCTTTTAATATATTTATCCATATTACCAACTAATCATCCATCCCCCACCACTCAACTATGCTTGAGTCAAATGATGGGCTGTCGAGAGATTTACCATCACAGAGAAAAAGTGAGCATTGTCCCTGAGAAGAATGAGGAATCCTAAGGGCTGGAAGATGATCTAGTGGCATCAGTGTGGTTTCAAATTCTAACCCTTCTACACACTAACTGGAGGCAATCTGTAGTAAACAGATAACTCCTCCTTTAAAGAATAGAGCATCCTAAGATTCAGTAATTAATTACTTAAGGAAAAATCATGAAATAGATGCAATTCATTCAACAATAGAAAAACTAGTAACCAGAGACAGAGTTATTAGAACAAAGAGAGGAAGGCTTGTCAAGAATAATTGCTATCCTTAGATGTACAAATAAGACATATACATTGTGTTAGTTAGACATCTTTGGTGTGAAGCCTCGAAAACAAACAGTAGCTAATTTTAAAAAGAAATTTATCAGCAGTACATGAAGATGTTCATAGACTACATAGGAGCCTAGAGATCCAGGGTAAGAAATAGAACAGGAACCAGAACAAGGGCAGGTATGCAGCAGGAAGAACTATTCTTCTGCAGATTGCACCTTCAAGTAACTATGCTCCACACATCTTGTTTTCTTGATTTTCTTGGAAAAGCAAGTTCTAAAACACCGCCTAGTAGAAGTTGAAACACAGGACAGACAGATCGATGAAGAATAAATAATAATGATTGTTAGGTAATGTTTTTGTTTTTGTTATTTCAATGTATTTTCCAATGCATGTCCTTGACTACAGATAATTTGGGTGTTTCTCTAGTTAGAATCTTGTTATTCAATTTCTAGCTTAATTATATTGTGGTCAGAGTAGGTCCTCTGAATAGTTTCAATTCCTTTAAATGTATTGAGACTTGCGATGTTCCCCTTCCTGTGTCCAAGTGTTCTCATTATTCAATTCCCACCTATGAGAACATGCGGTGTTTGGTTTTTTGTCCTTGCGATAGTTTGCTGAGAATGATGGTTTCCAGCTTCATCCATGTTCCTACAAAGGATATGAACTCATCATTTTTTATGGTATTCCATGGTGTATATGTGCCACATTTTCTTAATCCAGTCTATCATTGCTGGACATTTGGGTTGGTTCCAAGTCTTGGCTATTGTGAATCCTAAGGCCAGCTGAGAAACAGCCCTGAGAGCAGGACTGGCCATATATCTTGCGGGACCGGTGCATAATAAAGATGTCAGACCCCTTATTAAAAAAGCAGGGAGTGGCAAGTGTGCAGCTAAACATACTAAAATATCAAGCTTTTTCCTTTAAAAATATTGTTTTAGGAAAAAATATTGTATTAATTACAAAACACAGTGGGATGATAGTGATACCTGTATAACAACATAAATTTACAAATAGCACAAATATAATAAAAAAAGTATTGAGACTTGCCGTATTGACTAGTATGTGGACTAATACATTTTACGAATGTTCTAGATGTGTTTGAAAAAAAATCTGTTCTGCAGTTGTTGAATGCAGTGTTCTATGTATGACCATGAGGAGTCTCATTTACTAATTGGGTGACTTAAATCTATACCCTTATTGATATTTTGGTTGTCAACTTTTATTTGCTAGTATATGTTAAAATTTTCTCATTATTATTTGTGGATTGTAGTTTTTCAGTGTACAGGTCATATACACATTGTATCAGATTTAGCTCCATAAGGTTGATGCTATTGTGAAAGATATTTTAATATTAATTTTGGATTGTTCATTGCTAGAATATAGAAATACAGTTGATTTTTATACATTGATTTTGTATCATGCAAACTTGCTCAACTCATTTGTTAGTTCAATTAGCATTTCAGTTGATTCCATAGGTTTTTCCCAGTAGACAATCATATCTATGAATAGCAAATGTTGTTTCTTCTTTTCCAGTCTCCATTCATTTTATTTCTCTTTGTTATGTTTTTGCACTGAAAAGAACCTCCAGTACAATGTTGAATAGAAATAGAGAGAGTGGACATTGCTGCCTTGTTCCTGACTTTTGGAGGGAAGCACCTGGTCTTTTACCACTAAGTATTATATTAGCTGTTGATTTCTATAGATTCCCTTTATCCGATTGAGGAAGTTTCCAGCTTCCAGCTATCTGTAGTTTTCTGAGAGTTTTTATTAGGATTGATGTTGGATGTTTTTCCAATTATTCTTCTGAATCTATAAATATAATTGTATGTTTTTCTTTTTTCAGTCCATTAATAATTAATTACATTGATTCATTTCGAATGTTAAAACAATCTTGAATTTCTGGGATAAATTCTACTAGAACATGACATATTGTCTTTGAATATGCTGTTACATTCTACTTGCTCACATTTTAAAACATTTTTATGTGTGTTCATGGGAAATATTGGTCTGTAGTTTCTTGTAATGCTTTTGCCTGGTTTTGGTATCAGAGTAACACTGGCCTTGTAAAATTAGGTGAAAAGTATTCCTTTGTTTTGTTTTTCTGAAAGTTTGTAAAAGTTGGTATTATTTTTTACTCAAATTCTTGATATAATTGGCAGTGAAGATCTCTGGGCCTGAAGGGCTTTGTTTATTTGTTTTCTTTTGTTTTGTTTTTGTAGGAACATCATTAACTACAAATTCAATTTCTTTAATAAGGCTATTCAGGTTACCCTTTTCTTCTTTAATAAGTTTTGTCCAAGAAATGTGTGCATTTGATACAAGTTGTCAAGTTTATTGGAACACATTGTTCATAACATTCCCTAATTGTTCTTTGAAAGCCTGTGGAAAGTGTAATAATGTCACTTATATCCTTTCTGATTTTGTTCCTCTGTTCTATCAATTATGGGAAAGTGGGATTGAAATATCCAATTATAACTGTGTATATGTCTATATTTCCTTGCACTACCATCAGTTTTCACTCCATTCTTGACCTCAGTAATTTGTATCTTCTTTTTTGACTAGAGCTTTATCAATTTTATTGATCTTCTGAAAGTTAACATTTTTAACTTCATTGATTTTTCTGTTAATTTTCTGTTTCCTATTTTATAGATTTTTACTTTGAGCTGCATTATTTTCTTTGTTTGACTTACTCAAGGTTTATTATTCTCTTATTTTTTAGTTTCATAAGTGAAAAGCTGAGGCCATTCATTTGAGAATTTTCTTCTTTTATAACGTAGGTATTAATTGCTATAGATTTTTTTTCCTCCAAGACTGCTTTAGCTACATACCACAAATTTCAGATGTTGTATTGCTATGCTCATTAAGTACAAAATACTTTCTAACTTATCTTCTGATTTCTTCTTTATTTAGTAGTGTGTTATTTGGCATCAAAATATTTGGAAATTTTCAAGAGAACCTTCTGTTAATTTTTAATATAACTTGATTATGGTCAGATAAAACATTCTGTATGATTCTATTTTTTACAGATTTCTTGAGAATTGTGCTTTGACCCACAATACGTTCAATTTATATATTTATTTATATAAATTTAGGTATATTCTGCTGTTGTTAGATGAAGTGCTATATAAATATCAGTGAGGTCCAGTTAACTGACAGTGTTGCTCAAACCTTCTATATCTCCACTCATATTTTTATCTCCACTTGTTTTATTATTTATTTAGAAAGATGAGTTGAAATTTTTATTTATGATTGTGTATATGTTCATATCCACAATTATATAAACTTCTATCAGTTTATGCTTCAGATATTTTGAAGCTGTGTTTTTAGGTGCATAAATATTTAGGATTGTTATGTCCTCTTAATTCATTGACCCATTCATCACTCTGAAGTAAAAATCTTTATCCATAGTAGTATTGTTTGCAGTGAGATCTATTTTGTTTGATCTTAATATAGCCACCAGCTCTTTATGTTTATTAACATCAGCGTGGGATGTATTTTTCCTTCCTTAGGCTTTTTAACATGTTTGTGCCTTTATATTTAAAATAGATTTCTTGTAGCCAACATAGATTAATTCATTGCTTTTTAAATTTAATCTATCTCTGTCTTTTAATTAGGATGCTTATACCATTTACAATTAATATGATCATTTATATAATTGTATTTAAATCATCTTATTATTTGTTTTTCATTTGTCCCATTTACTCTTTATGTTATTTCCTCTTCTTGTTTCCTCTCTTGGATCACTAGAGTTCAACTCTTTGCTGTGTTTTCAGTGGTTGCTTTAGCATTTATTGTATATATTTATTGTATTACAAATTCCACAATATATTGTCATCATTTTGATTTAAAATAAATTATATTTCAAGAGATTTAAGTAAAAAATATTCATATTTACATATGCAGTTAGCATTTCTGGTGTGAAAATTCAAATTTCTATTTAGTATTTTTTTTTCTGCCTGAGGAGGTTTTGTAACAGATATCAATTTCTGCTGGTGATAAATATTTCCAACTTTCATATGTCTAAACATTTATTTTGCTTTTATTTTGAAAGATATTTCAAACTGTAAACAATTTTAGGTTGACAATTTTTTAATACTTTAAAATATTGTTTCAGTGTTTTCAAGGCTGCATTACTTTGAATGAGAAGTTTGCTTTTCAACCTTATCTTTGCACCTGTCTATGTAACGTCTTCTACCCCTGGCTGCTTTTAAGACGTTCTCTTCAACACTGGTTTTAAGCAATGTGATTAGCATATGCCTTGGTGTTGTTTTCTTTATATTTCTTGGCTAGGGTTTGTCAAGATTTATGGATCCATGCGTTTATAATTTTCCTCAAATTTAGAAAATATTTGATTATTATTTATTTAATGTTTTGATCTTTTCCACTTCTACACACTGCCCAGCCTTGAGGGATTCTAACTGTAAGTTGAAGTTGTCCCAAAGTTCATGAAAGTCTTTTCTGTTTTTTTTTTCATGTGTCTTTCTCAGTCCCTGTTTTTCTTTTGAGTGCTTTCTATTGTTAGCTTTTCAAATACGTTAATCTTTTCTTTCACAATCTATAACCTGCCTTTAATATCATCCAGTGCATTTTTTCATTTCCGATACTCTATCTTTAGCTCTAGAAGTTTACTTTGGGGCTTTTTATTCCTTCATGTCTTGATTAACATGTGTAATATTCCTTCTACTTTTTTGAATATTAAACATACAGTTGTAGTCATCGTTTTAGTCTCTTTGTCTACTAATTAAATCTTGTTATTTTTCTCCTCATCGTGGGCTGTATTTTCTTACTTATATGTCTTCTTGGTAATTTTTATTGAATGCTAGATGTTATGAATTTTACCTCGCTATGTGCTAGAATTATTACACTCCTGTAAATATTATCGAGATATTATTTCTGGACATGGTCAAATTGGTTGTAAAGAGGTTTTTTGTTTGTTTGTTTTTTTGTTCGTTTTTTTGTCTTTTGAACTTTCTTAGGTAAGACCAGACCTGTGCTTAGGCTAGGGCTAATTCTTTTTTTTTTTTTTTTTTTTTTTTTTTGAGACGGAGTCTCGCTCTGTCGCCCAGGCTGGAGTGCAGTGGCGGGATCTCGGCTCACTGCAAGCTCCGCCTCCCGGGTTCACGCCATTCTCCTGCCTCAGCCTCCCAAGTAGCTGGGACTACAGGCGCCTGCCACTATGCCCGGCTAATTTTTTGTATTTTTAGTAGAGACGGGGTTTCACCGTTTTAGCTGGGATGGTCTCGATCTCCTGACCTCGTGATCCGTCCGCCTTGGCCTCCCAAAGTGCTGGGATTACAGGCGTGAGCTAATTCTTATTATTAGTATTATTACTGAGGTGAGACATTTTTTACTATTGCAACTGTTCTCTGAATTATGAGATTTCCTACTCTGTTGGAAGAAAGCATTATATCCAGCTCTGTGTTTTTCAGGCATATGTCATTTATATTTTTTGGATGGTTCTGTCTCAGACCTCAGGTACTTTCATTACATATACAGTACTCATCTGAACACTTAAAGGGGACAATCTAGTTATCATAAGGTTCACCTCATTTGCTTCCTGACCCAGAGAGATTATTCTTCACATGATGTCCAATGTCTTGAGTGGAATTATTCCACATATTTTATTTCATTTTTTAGTTATTTCATGCAGTGTTGTAAATCTAAGTCCTGTTTCTCCATCTTGATCAGAAATGAATACACACACATACACATATATACATATTAGTTTTTAAGATATAATTTTTTATTTTCTGTGCATACTTTGGGGCTTATCTTTTGCATATTTTACATAGTAATCTTTTTTGTTTTAATATGATCCTGTTGCATTTTAGTATTGAAACCTTTCAAATCTGTTTCTGCTGTCTCTCCTTTCTTCCAGTTGTTGAGCATGGCATCCTTCTTTCTTGTATGTTTACTTAACTTTGACTATGAGTTTATCATTTTCCTTTTAATATTAACTTTGGTTTGTTTCAGGTTTACAATCAAAGTGGATTCCTCCAGAGATAATGTGCTTTTGCTTCTGCTAGACATCTAGTAGGTAGTATCAATTTAGAACCTTTATAAGCCAAAAGGTTTTCGGATCCAGATAGGTAACATAGGTTTTATTTATTTGTTTATTTTCATTTTTGATGTCTTGCTGTGCTCAGTGGTGAGGTTTGCAGGAGATGGAGTTGGGGGCAGGTAGTTTGCTTCTGGCTTATCCTCACATTGAGGGTTCATCTTGTGGGAGTCCAAGATTTAAATGGAGAGGTTATTTTATTAGAAATCTCACACTGAAAACAGGCTCTGACATTTGGACTCTGCTCCCAGTGTCAAATGAGGCCATCAAGTCAGCTTTTACTAGTTTATCTCAAAATAATAGATAAAACAAACATCCCTATTTTACATCAGTACGAACTTGTTTCTCATTTACATTATATGCCAGGAACTGTGAAACTATAGTCGTCTTTACTCTGATATGCAGACTTAACAAGTAAATGCTATATGGAAACTGGCATTCCTATTAAAGAGGGATAGGTGAGATCCCTATCTCATCTTTCTGTTCATCTTTTATTGCCCATATAGAGTCACATGAATTTGCCTATCATCAAGACAGCAGGGCTGTGTGTAACCCTCTCACCGAGAGAATAAATGTACGTAAGATCAATTCTGTGATGTTTTTCATATGAATTTTTTTTAATTCAGCACTTTTTGTTGATTAAAAAGAAAATTTAATCCAAACAACAAAATCTGCCATATTACTAAAGCAAGAATGCAGAATATATTTTAACTGTGATTATATTATATATATAAAGCATGAAGCTTACAATTTTAACTATTTTTAAATTTACAGTTCAGTAGCATTGATTTCATTCACATTATTGTGCAACCATCACCATGAAAAGTCTCTAGAACTTTTTTATCTTGGAAAACTGAAACTCTAAATCTATGAATAACTGAATTTCCCTCTTTCCCAGTCCCAGGCAATCACCATTCTACTTTCTGTTTCTATGAATTTGACTAATCTAGGTACCACATATAAATGGAATATTACAGCCTTAGTTCTTTCATGACTGGTCTATTTAACTTAGCATGATGTCTTGAAATTTTATCCATGTTGTTATATGAATAGAATGTATCCAAATTTTATTTGTTTTAAAGGCTGAATAATATTCCATTGTATGTATTTCCTGCATCTTATTTATCTGTTCATCTGTTGATGGACATTTAAGTTGCTTCTACCTTTTGGCTATTGTGAATAATGCTGCTATCAACATTATTGATAGTCTTGACTTCTTGAGCATCTATAGTACTAGTGCACATTAACTTTGTCATCAGTTGCACAAATGTCTGTTTGAGTCCTTGCTTTCAACACTTTTGGGTATAAACCCCAACAAGGAATTTTAATTTATTGAGGAAACTCTATACTGTTTTCCATAGTGGCTACACTACTTTATATTCTTCTGACAGTGCACATGTGTTCTAATTTCTCCCCATTCTTCTCAACATGTATCATTTTCTCTCCATATATATATTTTAGAGATGAGATCTCTCTATATTGCTTAGCCTGGACTTGAACTCATGTGATTCTCCTGTCTTAGCCTCTTGAGTAGCTGGGCCTACAGGTCGTGTTACCACACCTGGGTATTTTCTTTTTCTTTTTGTAATAGCCATCCTAATGGGTATGAAGTAGTATATCATTATGGTTTTGATTTGCATTTTCCTAATGATTAGTGATGTTGAACACCTTTTCATGTGCTTTTTGGCCTTTGATATCTTTTTTATTTGAATAATATTTACTCAAGTTCTTTGCCCATTTTTAATTAGGTGGTTGGGGTTTTTCTTTGTTATCAAGTTGTGGGACTTCCTTCCTTCCTTCCTTCCTTCCTTCCTTCCTTCCTTCCTTCCTTCCTCCCTCCTCCCCTCTCTCCCTCCTTCTTTCCTTCCGCTCTCTCTCTCGATTTCTTTCTTTTTTTCTTTCTTGACAGAGTCTCACTCTGTTGCCCAGGCTAGAGTGCACTGGCGTGATCTTGGCTCACTGCAACCTCCGCCCCCTGAGTTCAAGCAATTCTCCTGCCTCAGCCTCCCGAGTAGCTGGGACTACAGGCGCACACCACCGTGCCCGGCTAATTTCTTTTGTATTTTAGTAGACATGGGTTTTCACCGTGTTGCCTAGGCTGGTCTCTAACTCCTGAGCACAGGCAATCTGCCCGCCTTGGACTCCCAAAGTGCTAGGATTATAGGCATGAGCCACCGTGCCCCGCCAGTACTTCTTTAAACATTCTGCATATTAACCTCTTAGCAGACATATGATTTACAAATATTTTCTCCCATTCACTGGGTTGCCTCTTCACTTTATTGATAGTGTGCCCAATTTTTGATGCATAATTAAAACATTTTCTGATATAGTTCAATTTATCTATTTTTTCTGTTGTGAAAGCAGTTTTTTTCTAAGACAAAGGATTAAAGTGAATAAAATATATTTTATCCCAAGTTTATTAGACTCCTTTATATTTTGAAAAGTTTATCAAAATATTTTGATCTTGAACATAGACACATTAGGCATTTAGCGTGACTCAAAATGTGCCTTGACTTATCCATAATTTCTTTTTCATTTTTGATGATGTTTAAAACAATAAGAAAGAAAAATTGTATAATTCTTGTGATAGTTAATCTTATACGTCAACTTGACTGGGCTAAGGGATGGCCAGACACGTGGTAAACATTATTTCTGGGTGCGTCTTTGAAGGAATTCCTGGAAGAGATTAGCATTTGAATCAGTATACTGAATAAAAAAGATCACTTTCACCTGGCATCTTCCAATGGTGATGACATTGGGTGAGCACCATTCAATACATTGAGGGCCTAAATCTAACAAAAAGGTGGAAGAAGGCCAAATTTACTCCCCTTGAACTGGAGCATCCGTCTTCTCTCCTCAGGCTCTGGAGGTCCTGGTTTTTTGGCCTTTGGACTCGGACTTAACACCAGCATCCCTTCACCTACCTCAGCTTCTCAGGCCATTGACTCACACTGAATTACACCATGAGCTTCTCTGGTTCTCCAGCTTTCAGATGATATTTTCCATCTCCCTCTCTCTCTCTCCTTTCTCTTTTATTCTTTCTTTCTTTTTTTTTTCTTGGTAGAGTCTCACACTGTTGTTGTTGTTGTTGTAGAACTTGTCAGCCTCTATAATCATTCATAATCATGTGAACCAACTCCCAAACCTCTCTCTCTCTCTCTCCCCCTCTCTCTCTCTCATATATGTGTGTGTGTGTGTATATATATATATGTATATATGTATGTATGGAGGACATTATGTTATATGAAGCCAGAAACAGAAGGAAAAATATCACATGTATATATATACATAAACACGCTATATATATATATATCCTATTGGTTCTATTTTTCAGGAGAACCTTGACTAATACAATTCCTTTGGCATCCCACATTTAGATTGTTAGTGTTTTGAAAAGGCAGACAAACATCTTTGAGTTTCAGTAAACCTACACATTTTTAGCAATTTGATTAGGAGAGCTTAATTTACTGAATCTTTTTCTTCATTTCCCTGATTGCAGTAGAAAATTGGGTTGACAGCTTATATTGTTGATGCTTCATTTTTAGTTGAGGCCGGGGACTCCCAATTCTTGCCCTTTCATTAAGGTTTATAGTATGTACTGTAGTTTCTTTAGAAATAAAGCAAAACAGAAAAATGTTTGGTTTTGTAATTGAATCAACTGAGAAGGTACTTAAACCTGATGTTTTCGGTGGCAAATTCATAAAACTGTAAATATTGTGGTGCCTTTTTCGAATTCATTTTTTAAAAAACTCTCCTTAGAAAAGTTTTTAGAAGACCCAAATATGAACAGACTATTTTGTACCTTAAGAATTTATAGTGAAAATTTTATTTTTGCTTAGAGCATACTTAACATTGTTCTTAAATGTAATCTCGCTTGCCCTTTTAAATGTGTTGCCCAAAATTTAAACAATAATGCCTGCTGAAGTGTTCTTGGTATTCTCTGTATTTGCTCCTGAGACAAAGCTATAACATTCAAATGATATACTTTCTACTCTTAGAGCCAATATATCATTAAGCTAGTGAAGGATGGCAGGCTTAGAGTAATGGGCATGCCATGTGTACCAGTCAGAAGGTAAAATGCCAAGTGGGCTTTCTTGTTTCTCTCATATATCAAAATTCATGCATCAGAGGAGATTGGTTAGTTGGGAATGTAGGGCCCAAACAGCTTCAACTATTCCTTTCATTTCTGTGAGTATTCTCCTGTTTCACATTTTCTCTTCCTTATAAAGGCATTTTCACATATAATACATTCATAGTATTAATATGACTTTTTCTTCATTCCTTCAGGAAATAGATTTTGGACTGCAAGAGGTATATTCCATGAGAAAATTAGACTACTGACTTACAATCTGAAAGAAAAATGTTTGATTGAGTTCAGCAACAGAAGTGAACAATTCATCAATTATATTATGTCATAATTTTATTCCTAAAGTTATTAGCTTTTGGTTTTAGTAAAGTCTGTGCCTTGAAAATGACCTTCAATAAATTAACATTTTTAGCATTTTGTAGGAATATTTATTTGAATTCTACAAATCTCATATTTCATTCTCAGACCAATGAATTTATGTAGTCTTGATTAGTATGGAAATATGTTATTTAGGTGTGAAAAGAACCATGCTCATTTTATTTGAAACACTCATTTCATCTGACAATATCTTCCTAAAGCAGAGAGTTGCTGTTGATAAGACAAAAGGTAACGGCTTTGTGGTGCAATGGATAGCACATTGACCTCTAGCTGAGCCTGGTGTGGACATTCAAAGACAAAAGAAGAAGGGAGTGTAATTTCTAGATGAAGAATACTGTCTTTCCATCTTACACCCTTGGGAGAGAAGAAAAACAAATCATTTTCACCCCCACCACATAAATACCGAAAGTGTCATAAAGAAATTATAGTTGCGTAACTCCAGGTATATGTAAATTAACATTTTGTGAGTTTTCATTTTGAGTATTAGAGAAATCCATAATTAAAAACGATTACTGAGTATATATCCAAAGAAAATAAAATCATTATATTAAAGAGATATCTGCACTTCTATGTTTATAGAAACACACGGTGCTTACTCTGTCCCAGGTAGTGTTTTGAGTGCCTCACATACCTAAGTCATTTATTCTTAATTACAACCTCATGGTAGAGGGGTTATTTTTATCTCCATTTTGCAGAGGAAGCCGAGACAGAGAGCTTCATTACTTTGCTCATGAGGAACCAGGCAGAGCTACCATCTGCAGCGGCATAAGCTGTGTGCCACATGCATCCAGAGTCATCATCACATATATACAGTGGACACAAGATTCCACGTTCATGCCTTCAATTAGTACATTTTGCTGCCTCTTGTAAATGGCTTGTCAATAATTGGAAATCAATTCCATTACTACTTATGACATATTACTTTTAGAAACATTATGGGTCAAACCTCCAAAGGTTTATTTGGTGCCTCACAAATTTCCTGGTATTTCAGTAAATAATTTCCTCCTTTCATGTGCCTGACGCTATGAAGTTACAGTTATTCTGTTATATACACAGGACATGACTATTAATAAGATAGCTGATTGTCACATATATGTCAGAATTTCTTCATATTTTTAACTTGTACACATTTTCAGGCACGATTTGAAGTATCAAATATGATTTAAAATATTTTTTATGGAAATGTGTTGATTTTATGTTCTAAATGCAATACATGACACATTTAATTTTGTTATCAAAAAAACTCATAATTTTACTGCTGATGTTAATAAAAGCTTCACATAGAAGAAGACCCACTTCTGAAATTCAATTATTCTTATATAATCCAAAATGCTGTATTTTTTGGGTAGAAGTTTATAACTAAAGTAATGAAGCTTTCCTGTTCAAAAGTAAATGGCTGATATTCTGTGATTATACATTCTAGCCAAAGCATCTTTATTAATTATTACATCATGCATTTCTGTTCACTTGCTTTCAAAACTGTTTATTAAAGAAGTCCCTAATAGTTCCCACTCAAAGCTTGTTCTCATCTACACATTGAGCTTTAGAACTATATCTCATATCTGTGTAAGCATTTTACAATAGGCCTGCTTGATTTTGACTTCTGGTATATTTCTAGTCCTTTTGGTTTCAGTGTTTTTTGCACCTTTCTTTATTATTGAAGCCCAAGGTGTGACAAATAATAAGTGCTGAGGCTCATGAACTGTGTCATTTTTACTTCTGAACATCTGTCTCCTCATTAATAAGAAGTAATCCCATTTACTTCATAGAGTTCCAGTGAGAATTGGTTGATATAACATGTTTAAAATATATACTTCAAGTAAGAAAGTGGTGTATTTCTTTCCTATGACTGCTCTAAAAATTGCCACCAATTTCATTTCTTAAAACAGCACGAATTAATTATCTTTTGGTTCTGGATGCCAGAAGTCCAAGATCACTTTCAATGGGCCAAAGTCAAGGTGTCAACAGGGTTGCTTTCTTCTGGAGGCTCCAGGGGACAATCCATTTCCTTACCTTTTCTAGCTTCTGGTGGCCACCTACATTCCTTGACCTGGGACCCTTTCCGGGCATCACTCTAACCCTGGCTACCTTTCTTGCATCTCCTGCTTTCTTGCCTGTAATCAAATTTCTGACTTTCTTTTATCACACTGTGATTACATCAAGGATTGCCATAAATATTCCTTGATAATAATACCCCCATCTCAAGATCCTTAACTTAATCACATCTGCAAAATCTCTGTGGCTGTATAAGTAACATTCACAGTTTCCCAGGATTAGGACTTGGGTATCTTTGGGGCCATTATTCACCTTATCACACAGTCTTTTCAAATTCTCTCTTTCTTATCCTTCCAAGTACACACATAGCTAGGCTGACTTTAAATTAGCATCAAGAAAGTCTCTGATAAGTATCCCAGAATATTCCAATACACTCCTTTAAAAAAACATTAAAATTAAATGCATGCTATCCTTTATATATTTTGTTCCATATTGCAAAAGTTAAGACTGTCTACCCTCCAAAAAAATCCATGTTCATATCTTTAGATGCTATTCAACATATTTTGGATATTTGATATGATAGCACCATTGCAAGACATATCAAGGGCAAAAAAGCTGGGGAGGATTGTGTAGTGACCTATATTTTACTCTTTAAAGCAGGATCCCTGAAAGAGTTAAAAAAGTATTAATAATTATGGTGGAATAACAAGTTTGAACTGCATTGAAAAAATGAGAATACATAGACAGCTACCCAATCCGAAGGATCTATCCCTTTGTGAATTTCTCCATTGGTGGCAAGAAGGAATGTACTTAGGAAAATCACTTTGCTAACAGAGATTGACAATTCTCTGTTCCTTTGACATATTTAGCAAAAATTTATTACACAGAATTATGAGAGCACTGTCTGTATGTGAAAATTAATTGGGCATCCTCAAAATTAAAAACCTCTGTTCTTCCAAAGGCACTGTTACGAAAATAATAAGGCAAATCACACACTGGAAGAAAAAACTTGTAGTATGTGACAAAGAGCTTGTAGCCATAATATTTTTTTTAAAGTTGCAACTTAATATTTAAACAATGCAATTTAAGAAAGGTACGCAAGATTTTTAGACACATCGCAAAATAAAATATCAGATATACAAAGGAATAATAAGCACATGAACAGAAGCCGAATATCATTAGTCATTAAATAAAATTGTCAAAAATAATACACCATTACTCACCCATAAGAATAGTAAACATTGATAATATTGAAATACTAAGTTTGTCAAGCATGTGTTACAACTGCAATACTCATATGCTGCTGAGGAGAATATAAAATGGGATAGTAGTTTATCAGTTTCTTATAAACATACATATATATTATAACAGATTTCCAGTCTTTAGTATTTTTAAGACTGAAATTATTAAAACAACATGTCCACATAAAGACTTGCAAATAAATTTTTAAAGCAGCTTCATTCTCAATTGTATCAAATTGAGAATAATCCTAATGCCAATCGACATGTGACTGGATAAACATATTATGGCTTATTCACTCAATGGAATACTATCCAACAATAAGAAGAAATGAACTACTTCTACTTGCAATATGAATGAACGTTACAAACATTATATTGAGCACAAAGAAAGAACAAAACAAAACAAAACAGAGACAGAAACAAAAGGATACGTATGGTTAGGTTGTATGATTCCATTTATCTAAAAGCTCTAGAATAGGGCAGTCTAATCACTAGTGACAAAAGTAAATTGGTGGTTGCTTGCAGTCGAGGGTGGAAGGTTATTGTTCTGGAAGACACACTAGGGGACTTTAGGGGTTGATACAACTATTCTATACTGGAAGTGTGGTAGTGGTCACAAGGGTGCAATAAACTCATCAAAACTTATTGATGTTCATAGAAATTTGTTGCATTTTATTGTATGGACATTATACCTCAACAAAGTTTATTTCAAAATATTTATAACTATCCTTGTTACAAAAGTTATGCATGTTTATTGTTCTTTGTGGAAAATTTAGAAAACTCAAAAAGTAAAGAGAGTGTGAGAAACAACCGATCCTTAGAATAAAGACAAAGATGCAATCTGATAGTGTAAAACTACTATAAGTTTTATATACCTAGTATGTGTTTAATACCTAACATTAAGCTTTTCCTTTAATCCTTACTTTTCATGTATTGGATCCTGAATTGTGTTAAATTTCAATCTCAACTTCCTAGGATTAGAGGCCTTCCCAAAGGCTCCTATAGATGTTCTAGAGATATTTTGCTCTAGGAAAACAAAGGCAAGACCTGTAATCTGAATTTCAAGTAATGAGACCCAGTTTGTGTAAGTCAATTTGAGTACATTCAGACTTATTCCCAGGGCAACTCTTAGAAGACTTCCTGTTCTATCTCCTCACTTTCCCATCTGCACCTAGACTTGCATCAATCTTGCTATGCTTTATATGAATTTTTGGACATGTATCTAGTCTCTCGGCATTGTTTCTTGAGTTCAGTCCTTGCCTTGCTCCCTTTGGTATCACACCCTAGTTTCCTCTATTTGTTTCAGACACTAAGAAAACTGCACTGAAAGTCTTCTCCTGGCCTGTGAGTGATTCCTGACCCACTCTTCCATTTTTACTCTGAGAGTGGAGTTTTATCCTTGGAGAATTTCCTTTGAACTGCTTTTATCCTTGGAGAATTTTCTTTGAACTGCTTTTATCCTTGGAGAGTTTCCTTTGAACTGCTAATCTAGACTTTCAACACCTCTTTCTGCCTTCAGATCTCTCTCTACTTCTTTATTTCCCTCACTGACCTCCAACTATTAGAGTCAGGAAACTGTTGGAAGAAATCCTTCAGATCCTTTAATTCCTTGGTAGCTTGGACGGCAACTCTGACTTGATTTAATGACACCATTGCCAGGTACATTAACTTATTATCACTTTCACACCTTTAACTGCTTACTAGGTCTGACCTCTACTTTCATTGACAACTCTGTGGCTTCATTCACGGAAAGAAAATGAATCATTTGCAGGGCAGTCTTTCCGATGCTTCACCTCATTTCCATGTTTCTTATCTCTGAGGTTATAGTAACATGGCAGTAGGAAACTTACACTACTTTTTAGATACATTATAGCTAATTGAAAGAAAAATTGCTTTAGCTAAATACATTTATTGTAAAGCTTTCTCTCCAATCATCTCATATATTAATAAATAGTAAATTCAAATAGAAATAGTCATCTTTCAATTTAAAAAGTTCAAGAAGTTTTATAACTACTGCTTCAAATTCAAATAGAAATAGTCATCTTTCAATTAAAAAAATGGTGCATGAGGTTTTATAACTACTGCTTCAAGATGAGAATATTTTTTTGTATCTCCAAAAGGCTGATATTTAAAACTAGTTTATTCTTTCATAATACATTAACATTTAGGGTCTATATGGACAGAGTTGCTTTTAAACAATGATTCACCACAGTTTTTCAGTGGGACTGAAAGAGAGCAGAAGAAATGTGAACAACCCATAGTGTGTCTATTTACATTTGTATTCGAGATAGCGTGATGGAAGTAGTGTTATGGAATTTATAGCTGGAGCTTGGCTTTAGTTGAGAAGAGTTAGTTTTATTCTCTGTTAAACAAAAAAAACAAAAGCCCACAAATAATTTTTCTCATCTTTCAGGATATTTTTGTTTGACTCTAATATTATAATATACTATTAATATGTGTAAAAACATCTGTAAGCACAAAAGTGCTATAAAAATGGCATCTTGTTATATTTATTATGGCATATTGATCTTTGGACAGAACTAGATGGGAACAGTTTTACTTGTAATCTGAAATGACATCACAGAGTGAAAATTCACACAAATAATTAGAGAGCAATTAGACAATATTTCAATCGAAACTGAAAACGGGTAGGAATTTTAACTTGGCATTGCCAAAGCTACGAATTTACTCTATGTAAAACTTACACACACAGATGTATATCAATGCTTGTGGATGTCTATTAAAATACTTTTATAATAGCGATGGTGGAAACAATCAAAATGTTTATTTTAGGGGTTGAACAAATCCTCATAATATAGTCACATAATCTAACACTAGCACCCTTTAAAGAGAAGAAACTAGAAAGAGTGAAAAACATCTACAATAAATTAGAAAATTGAAATAAAAAGAAAGTGAATGATTTGCACAGCAGTCTTTCAGATGCTTGACCTCATTTCCGTGTTTCTTATCTCTGAGCTTAAAATAATGTGGCAGTAGGCAACTTACACCACTTTTTGGATACATTACAGCAAATTGAAATAAAAATTTATAGGTCAAAAAACTGACAATAAATTAGGTCAAAAAATTTGTAATATCAAAAGTAAGAATTATCCCATTTATTTTAATGATTGATAGAGAGATACATATACAGACTTTCACTCAAACACACGTGTAGGAAAAATTAAGAACATGTAACTTAACATTTACTACTGCAAAATGAAAATGTAGAGAAGGGTTTTCCTTCCATTGTTTTAAATTGCTTGGTTGTTTAGAATTGTACAATGTAGAAATAAATCTTTTGTAAATTAAATCCATACAATCAATACTTCTGTAAAGTACATCAGTAGCCAATTAAAAATAAAATGTCACTCTCAAATACGTAAACTATTAAAAGTTATGACAAAAACCACAATTACTTTTGTACCACCCTAATATATGGTGTTTAATCATAAACAAACCCATTAGGGATGACGAGAAGATACAATCTCAGCCTAGTGCATTGAACCTAATGACCTGGCCTCAATGGCCTCTTGCCCTGCTCCTGCCAAATCCTCTCTTGAGTTTTATGTTCCAGGCATTTCAAATACATTTAGACATGACAACAAACTACAAAATTGCATGCCTTTTTGTTTTTACTCTTCCGATACCATTTCAGAAGTTCCTTTTTCTTGTCTCTACTTGGATAACTACTAAGTTATTCAAGATTGTGCCTTAGTATCAACCTGTTAAGGAAGAAGTTATCACATCTGTCCCAGATCCTGAATTGGACAACCCTAATTAATAGTCCTATAGTGTCTTGGCATACAAGTATCACTGCATTTATCTCTGTAATGCCACTATTTATTTAATTGTTTCTACCGCAACTATTTATTTGTTTCTACCACAACTTGGCATACAAGTATCACTGCTTTTATCTCTGTAATGCCACTATTTATTTAATTGTTTCTACTGCAAACTATATTGTTGGGAAGAGGAATTATATCTTTTAATACCATATCCCGGTACCAATCTCAGTAAGTGTTTTTAGATGATTTAATTAAAATCTCTCTCTATATATAGCTTAAATTTTGTATTTAGTTTATTTACCAGTTATAAAATAATGTGCGAGAATCTTGATTTTCAAAATAAATTCTTCTATCAGATCAACACTTTTGAAAGATCATCTTCATAAAAATGTAACTGAAGGATGTGGAAAAGATCATGGAGGAACATGTGTTAAAGAGCCTAAGTTAGGCGGAATCTAAAAAAGTAAAACTCATAAAAGCAGAGAACAGAATGGTGGTTACTGGAGGCTGGGTGGGGTGGAGTAGGGTGGACTGGAAAGAGAAGATATTGGTCCATGGAGACGGTTTTCATTAGACAGGAGGAATATCTTCTGGTGATATATTGCAAAGCACGGTGACTATACTTAATATATTTTATATTTCAAAAGAGCTAAAAGAATGGATTTAAAATATTCTCACCACAAACAATTTATAAGTATTTGAGGTGATAGATATTTTAATTAGCCTGATTTTATCAGTTTGCAATGTATACGTGTATCAAAACAACACACTGTACTCCATACATAAATATAATTATTAGTTCTTAATTAAAAATAAAATAAAACTAAAACAATAAAAAACAGGAACCTGGGTATTTATCTTGTTTATTCATATTAACTTCTGTGAAATTAAAACAATACAAATTATCTTTCAGAATTCTTGTGTGGGTGAAATAAAGTATTGAATATAGAAGCTCTATGTAGATTATTATGAAACATTATTGTATTTAATACTGATAATATAAATTCGAATGAACTCAGTTATTTTTGAGGCATTTTTAGACAAAGGGCACAAAGCTACTTATTATTTAATGGAGGCCTTATTTCCTTCACCGTGAATTCTATATTTGATAATTCATTTTCCATTTTTAAGATTTAATTTTTTAAATTGGCATTATTATAGCATCAGATATTGAAATGGAATTGTACAGGAAATTGGCAATAATTGCTAGAGAAATGAAGGCTAATTACTATACTTACTTTTAACACAATGTAAAAGCTCTGACAAAACAAATTAGGAGGTTTTCTCATCACCACAGCAACAATTTTCAACTTTGTTTTGCCTTTCTGAAAATATAACCAGTCAAGCAAAGTTAATTTAACTTGAGCAGAGTGAAAAATTGATTTGTTTTTACATGATGCAATTAGGCTTTAAAAAAAAGTCAAGTTAAATAATGATAAGCACAGTTTAATTTGTTTATAAGCCCTTTAGGAACTGTATTTTGAGTTATAGCTAACAAGAAATTGACTATAAAATAAGGAAAAAGATTTGACTGGTGGAATGTCTTATTTCTTTTTGTTTGTGTCATTTATTTGAAATTACATGGTTGGTATAAATTAGTAACAACATTTGCATGCATTATGTCCTTCAGAAAGGCTTGTTGACTATTACCTATCTATTAAAGAGGGACACACTTAAAATGACTCACTTATTTAACTCAAAATAAACATGCCTCCTCTTAAAGAAATCTACATACTCCAAACACAAATGAGGGATATATGACAATATCCTTGAAATCAGGAATGTCTGAATTCTATCCATAACATAGCAACTATAAGCAAATAGCAAAGATTGAACATGAGATGATATTTGATCAAAATAATTATTTTTACTGAAGATTTTTGTGGGTATCCTGGCACTTCAATCTTAAATAATATGAGAAAAAGTAAAACATCAACCATTTATTTCTGACTAGATTACTTACATTATCTGTGTTCACCAAGATTCCCTTGATTTTTCAAGTTATGTATTTTTATTTACGTTTTAAAAAAAGTTTTGCTAGGTAAGCTCATCTACTTTCTGACCTTTGCACTCTTCCCTGTTCCTGGAGTTTTCTTCTCTTAGCTTTTTACATGATTGCTTTGCTCATTCTCTTCCTTTAGCTTTGGGTTCAAATGTCTTCTCCCTTAGAGGGCTTTCCCAATGGCACTATCCCAAAAGGCTTTCCCCAGTAGCCTTCTCTCATTAACTTCGACTTTTTCTTTTTTTTTTTATTTATTATTATACTTTAAGTTTTAGGGTACATGTGCATAACGTGCAGGTTTGTTACATATGTTTACATGTGCCATGCTGGTGTGCTGCACCCACTAACTTGTCATCTAGCATTAGGTATATCTCCTAATGCTATCCCTCCACCCTCCCTCCACCCCACAACAGTCCCCAGAGTGTGATGTTCCCCTTCCTGTGTCCATGTGTTCTCATTGTTCAATTCCCACCTATGAGTGAGAATATGCAGTGTTTGGTTTTTTGTTCTTGCGATAGTTTACTGAAAATGATGATTTCCAATTTCATCCATGTCCCTACAAAGGACACGAACTCATCATTTTTTATGGCTGCATAGTATTCCATGGTGTATATGTGCCACATTTTCTTAATCCAGTCTATCATTGTTGGACATTTGGGTTGGTTCCAAGTCTTTGCTATTGTGAATAGTGCCACAATAAACATACGTGTGCATGTGTCTTTATAGCAGCATGATTTATAGTCCTTTGGGTATATACCCAGTAATGGGATGGCTGGGTCAAATGGTATTTCTAGTTCTAGATCCCTGAGGAATCGCCACACTGACTTCCACAATGGTTGAACTAGTTTACAGCCTCACCAATAGTGTAAAAGTGTTCCTATTTCTCCACATCCTCTCCAGCACCTGTTGTTTCCTGACTTTTTAATGATTGCCATTCTAACTGGTGTGAGATGATATCTCATTGTGGTTTTGATTTGCATTTCTCTGATGGCCAGCGATGGTGAGCATTTTTTCATGTGTTTTTTGGCTGCATAAATGTCTTCTTTTGAGAAGTGTATGTTCATGCCCTTCACCCACTTTTTGATGGGGTTGTTTGTTTTTTTCTTGTAAATTTGTTTGAGTTCATTGTAGATTCTGGATATTAGCCCTTTGTCAGATGAGTAGGTTGCGAAGATTTTCTCCCATTTTGTGGGTTGCCTGTTCACTCTGATGGTAGTTTCTTTTGCTGTGCAGAAGCTATTTAGTTGAATTAGATCCCATTTGTCAATTTTGGCTTTTGTTGCCATTGCTTTTGGTGTTTTAGACATGAAGTCCTTGCCCATGCCTATGTCCTGAATGGTAATGCCTAGGTTTTCTTCTAGGGTTTTTATGGTTTTAGGTCTAACGTTTAAGTCTTTAATCCATCTTGAATTGATTTTTGTATAAGGTGTAAGGAAGGGATCCAGTTTCAGCTTTCTACATATGGCTAGCCAGTTTTCCCAGCACCATTTATTAAATAGGGAATCCTTTCCGCATTGCTTGTTTTTCTCAGGTTTGTCAAAGATCAGATAGTTGTAGATATGCGGCGTTATTTCTGAGGGCTCTGTTCTGTTCCATTGATCTATATCTCTGTTTTGGTACCAGTACCATGCTGTTTTGGTTACTGTAGCCTTGTAGTATAGTTTGAAGTCAGGTAGTGTGATGCCTCCAGCTTTGTTCTTTTGGCTTAGGATTGACTTGGCGATGCGGGCTTGCACCCGATCTCGTTTGATCTCGGAAGCTAAGCAGGGTTGGGCCTGGTTAGTACTTGGATGGGAAACTTCGACTTTTTCATCACACTTACCATAATCTGTCAGCATACAGCTCCATTAGGGCAGGTGCCATAAATTAATATGAGTTATAAAATAAATGAATGAACACATATAGTGACTTATAATTGTAGTCTGTGAGTACACATATACTCTCATCCCCTAAAAGAGGCAAACGACACATTACTGATATTTATTGAGAGCCTTCTCTGGGTTCAAGACAGTTGTAGGGATATACAGACTAAAAAGTATTTTATCTTTTATGTTCTGATTTTGAATGCATGGGTGAGACAAAATAAATTGTAGCAAGCAATATAAAATTGCATAATTTAAGTACTGTAATTTTAGTTTGAGAATTCAGAGAAAGAGAGAGAAATCAATGAGAGCTGGTCCTCACTGAGAGCTTGATGGGATTCTAGGCATCTTCAGTACCTTAAAGCATGAGTGTATTTTTGTCTTCTTGTATTTGAGTACTCAGAAATTTGAAGAGAATTGGGACTGTCACTCTATTTTAAGAAATAGTCTTATTTAATAGGCCAAGGTCCTTTACATGTATGTGTAAAGTAAATCTCAGAGATAGTTTAAGATACACAATCCACTACTACCATGTGCCTTGCTGAAGTAATTTGAAACCCATGTGGTTTAGTTTTGTGATGGTGCTGTCTTCACAGATGATACAAATGATAAGTTTTGATGCTGTCAGTCTATGTCCAGGCTTTACAATGGAAACTATGGTTACTACCTGGTCCCTGCATTTGCAAAGGAGTGCTTAGCATTTGGTATACGACTAACAGCAAGTTCTAGATTTTAGCTCCTTTTAACCTTCTAGTCAAACTAAGCCTTTGATAACCCATTTTACTGAAATAACCAATGCCTACATTATCAATTTTAAATTATGAAAAAATACTTAGAGCAATAAGTTCAATGGCAGCTTTTGACCAATAACACATAAACTTTCTTTTACCTATGTTGGAAATAATTTCTGTCTCAATAAAAAACAATATCAAAGTATCTTGCCAGAATTATTCAATACTAGGTAGAGGTTTTTGGAACCAGTTATTTCTTGCAAATGTATTATTTAAAATGTGTATATTTTTATATTCATGCTAAGTTAGAGTAGCCTCCAACTGAACCAAACTGACTTAAAATCAATTAATTATTCACTGCGAGCTATAATGTTTTAAAAAAGTCACAGATGCAAATTAGACAATTTGGTTCATGATAAACTAAGATACTTCACTTGCTGAAAAACCTATTTCTTCATATAATTCTATGGATTTTGTATTTGATGTGCTTCCACATTTTTAACACTGCTTTGCCATGCCTTTGTGGACTGCGATGTTGTTTTCTCTCATTCAGAGACCTGAAAAACTAATTAACTCATTTGAACTGGATGACTAAAGTGCAAAAGTAATCTGTCACAACTAAAAACATAAATTCAATGTTTTTTCCCATCACAGTCTAGTGCACTTTTTTCTGTAATGCAGTATAATCAAAAGATTATGAACTTTGAGGTCAGACCAGAGAGCAAATCCTGACTGTCACATATTTCCTATATGACCATCAAGTGACTTCACTTCTCTGAGTTTCAATTGCATTGTCTATACAACAACAAAGAGTTAAAAAAGAATAAGACCTATTATGAAGGCTATATTGAGATTGTAAGAGCTTGGAACATATGAGGCACTCTTCCTGGAATGTTTCCCAGCCCCTCTCTTCTTCAAAATCAACTCCAGGATTATCTAACCACAATGATATAATGCAAAGGGTTTTCGGACTGGGAGCAGTTTTTGTCCCTGCTCTGTCACTAACTCAGTCTTTAATCTCAAGCAAGTACATAAGTACATTCGGAATTTCAGTTGCTTAGTGCATCAGTAACAGCCCAGGCCTCTCAGCTCCATAGTCACCCTTCATTGTCCGGCTTCACCAATAGAGGGCGCTGGAAGGACACTGGAGGAGAGAGGGGCTCTTCCTGGTTTGGGGTGTGCTCATTACTAGCTGACTCCCGGAGGGCAGGCTGGCACCTTCCAGTGGAAGACTTCTCAGACCCGGGAGGATAGATTCCAGCGAGGTCCACCACGCAGCACCTCCACAGAAGTCCCTGTCATCCAAGGCCTACACCTACATCCTTTCCAACAATGTCTGGGCTCTTCCAGATTGGCGACTTCATTGAACACTCTGCTTTGGTCCTCGAGGTGCGACTGCTCCCTTTATTTCTTGCTTTCCTGTTCTTCAGAGTTCTGAATGCTATTCCCCCCACCCCAGTAGGTAATTCACTTATATTGTAAATATTTCTTTATATTAAACATTGTTTAACTTCTATCTCTTGGTTAATACTCTTAGGAAATAATTAGGTTACATGGAATCATCAATAAGTTTTTAAAAAGTAATTTTAATCTCTGATATTCAATGAGATTTAATAGAATATGCTCTTGGCTGTTCTTGGAGAAGTGTGCCTCATGGATGTATCCTTAGGCATAAGTTATTTTGTTGTGTTGCCAGGGAGTAATGTGAGAAGTAATTAGTTACATCCCCAAGAGCACTTACTATGGTAGGGATGCTACACTATAGATAAAAAAAATATATCATTGGACCCAACATGCAGAGAACAATCCAAAAGGTGATACACCAATGTGTAATCTGTGCAAACAATAATCCAAATGTAAATGAACAGCAGGTTATTTGATCATTGCATGCAGAATCCAATTAAGAGTGAGGTATGGTATAAAGACCCAAAAACGAACGGAATGAGGTAAGAAGTAGAGATATATGGATTAGAATCAAAGATGGTTTTGCTTGAGAATCAGACCAGTTGACTTAGACCAATAGTTCTCAAACAATGATAGTTGTAATTATCATCTGAGGAATATCTGCATTAACAAATGTGTCCAAATTTTAACCCAGACTGACTGAACCATCATATCTGGGGTTGGGAATTAGCCTATGAATTTTCAGAAACTCTCTACATATTTCTGACGTATTATTTCCTCCTCATCCCCACGAGTTAATTAATAAATAAAAAACTGTTCATGGAGAACATATTATGTGCAAGAGACAGTGCTAGGTACTGAGCAGTATAACAAGCTCATAAAAAAGACTTTGTGCTCAAGGAGTTTGTTGTCTATTGGAAAAGCAAGAAAAGTAGACTTTTAAGTAATACACAACTCCTTCAAGTATGTGTCAGCCATTATGCTAAGCATTTTATTTACATATCTCCTTTAGTCTTGAAAATCCAGTAAGGTAGGTAAAATTACTAAAATTACTTATAGATAAGGAAACTGAAGCTCAGAGGTTAGGTGATATTTTTTCCTCTTAAAGAGACATACAAAGCATTATTAGAGTATAAATGAGGAAGAAAGAAAGTTCTTTATGAACAAGGGGCCACTGAGGCTTGAACACTAATATTTTTGAGTTCTCAAATTTTGTCTTCTAAGGAATGGAAAAATTATTTGAAACTGTGATTCTTGTTTATTTCTCTCTTTTTAACTAATTGAAGATTTTATTTTACTTAATTAGTATTCTGGAACTCTTCTTGATTTTTTTCTTTTCCTTAAATATAGACACAGACCAAAGATTAAAAACCTATACGGAGTTTTGGCGGCATTGCAGATAATTTAAATGGCTAAAGGAGGTTGGGTGTAAACCAGAGTGAGCGGGAGATGGGAATGGGATAGGACTCTGTGTAGAAAGTGTAGTCTTGGTTGAACAATATTCATATTTAAATATATTTTAAAATGAATTTTAAATGGGACAAGGAGACTATACAAACTATCTAGTAGCATATCCCAAGTTCTCAAGCCTGTCTAACTGCAAAGGGATGTTTACAGAGCTTCATTTAAGGTATCTGCTTTCCAACATTGAAATCAATTTTTGTTTTCACTTTAAATTCCGGTGGGTTTCTATTGTATTGCATGCTTCTGTGATAGACTCTGCAGTAGGGAGAGGGAGTGAGATGTAGCATTGGGGTGGGATGGAATCAGAACTGTATGAAGATCCATGAAACCTGAATTTGATCTGGGTGCTCCACTTTACGGAGGATTTTCTCATCTCAACTTATTCACACAACCACTAGGTGGGGAAGAAGATATTAAAACACAGTTCTTCATGACTCCACTCCTATATCCTTTACACTAAATGAAGATGAGGCAATTTATGAAAAGTTATTTGTAGATTGAAGAAAGTCAAACAAAAACAAGTGACAAATTAAAAAAATACCAATATGCTTAAGATAGTGGAAGCAAAAAGGCACAGAGAGCTGAGAGAAGGCATAATGACTGTGCAGAAATCAGGAAAAGCTTCAGGGAGCTTATGGCCTTTGAGATGGACCTTGATGGGTGAATACGCTCCGATAGGTGGAGTTTGGATAAAATTATAGGCAGAATAAACAGAATTAAACAAAGGGATTAAAGAAGAGATATCTAGGCCATATTCAAGGAATAGAAATTGGTACACTTTATTTGAAACTTACAGTAGGTATCAGGAAGATAAGACAAAGACATATAGGTGACTTGGAGTCAAAATACGGATTGAGGAGTTTGTGAACAGGTGTACAAACATGGCTAGATCTACTCTTTCAGAAAGGCAATCAAGTAATGGTGTCACTATATTGGAGCATTGAGAGAGTGCCCTAGGTGTGAGTTGAGGGGTCTGATGGGTGTGTGTGCATGTGTGTGTAACAGTGGGGCTGAAGAGACCCTCCAATAGACACATGAGAAGCAAAATCCCTGAGATTTACCTGCAATATTTTGAGCTGCATAATTAAGAGCAAACTAAACTTCATTAACCAGAAGTCAAAAAACAAAACAAAACAAAAAACATCTATTTGAGGAGCCGAGGAGGAGACTGAGAGAGAGGAGTTGATGTGATATTTTTGCTCACATTTCATTGGAAATACCCGTTGTAGAGATTGTTTCAGGGAGCTGAAAATGTCTATCCGGGGTTTGGGGAGGGGTAAGGCTAGAGGAATGGATTTAGGAGTCTTTAGTACGAAGGAATTGACTACAATCCCCATAGGCTGTGAAACTGTCAAATGAAAACTGTAAAAAAGAGGAGAAGGGCAATCATCAAACTTTGAGAATGAATATATTTAGAGATACAGAGGGGGCAGCAGAGCTGGAAAGGACAGCGAGATCAGTAGTCTTGGAGTAGGAGGCATGGACAGTGCGAAGTTAATGAAGATGAGGGAGGAGAGGGATTTGTGTTGAGACATAGGACCAGCTGTTTCATTCCCTGATATTTGAAAATGCAGTTTTAGCAATTGTGGAGGTGGAAACCAGACTGCAAGGGATTATGTTTTAATTGGATGGTGAGGAATCAAAGGCTGGGAGAAGAGCATGATCTTTTAATAATTCTGGGCATGAAATGTAGGGGGACAGAGCAAAATATTGCATCATTTGCAATTTCTAGGAAGATATTTTTAAGATAGGAGTGATACGGGTATGTTCAGGGACAGAAGGTGCTTGGTAATAAATATTTTGATGTGAAAATGGCTAATGCAAGAATTCCAGTGGGAGATATAATACTGGATTTAGAAAGGAGCTGTCTGCAGAGGGAGAAGTAAGCTTTGTGCTCAAATCACTTTTTTTTTTTTTTTCTGACTCCGGAGAGCAGTTTGTGTCCGCCTGGGCAACTTTATTTTTTAAATAGTTGGATTGTTTGGAGAACATTCTCTGTCTTTTTCTCATGCTCTTTCAACCTTTCAACTAAGAAAACACACACACACACACACACACACACACACACACACACACACACACAGAGTGAGGGAGTGGCTCCGAATGTAAAATAATCCAGTATGTCCAAAAGATCCCACTATCCCCCCAGGTAGCTGGGCACCTTATGAGCTGATGTCTGATTCTCAGAAACGTTACAGCAGAGGGCATTCATCAGGAAATTGAGTTCAAGTAATAGCATGGTCACCTTACCCAGAGGACACTTGCCAGAAATTAAAGAAAAAAATGCCTCGTGGGCAAACTCATTGCTAATTATATCTTGAAAGTGCTTGAAAATGCAACCTCAGTGGATGCAGAGCGATGAATCAGTGTTTTACTCAATATAGTTTGTCCTTCATCATCCAGGCTTCAGATAATTTAGAGAAAACACCAAAAATTCCTTCCCAATCATTCTGAACATGATGAACATGGTGTCCTATGGGGTACTTGATGTGGCCCTGGAATTATGACTGACAGTATACCTTTATACAGATCAAAGAAACATCCCTGATTATGATGGGAGACATGAAATTACAGCCAATTATCTTCAGGTCAGTATAGTGACACTAATTGTTGGGAATAGATAACAGAGTAAACTATTGCATTGTTTAAAATATTTGAGTTTCCTGGAGTTTGCCCTGTTAGCTAACTCTATGAGTAAAAGTAAAGTCTATGGGTTAACTAGAGGTAGCTCTGTTCTAAGGACTTACCCTAGACCAGTGAGCGCTCTCTCACTCTCATTCATTCTCTCTCTCTCTCTCTCTGTGTGTGTGTGTGTGTGTGTGTGTGTGTGTGTGTGTAACATTTACTCGATTAAAATGTGGCATAAGTTTCTTTTGGTCCATGTTTCCAGTTTCCTTAAATGGGTCTCTGTTGTGGAGGTAGTAAAAGATTGGCCTGTACAGCAGAGAAAAGGTGGTGGGCAATATTCCAAAGAGAATTCCAGTGCATATTCCATCACTGTTTTTTTTTTTGTTTTGTATTTTTCTTTTTAGGAAATCACTCATCATACGGGCATGCTGTCATGAACTAGTGTCCACTGTCAACTTGAGTCTTCCTTTTCACTTGGGAATATTTGGATGATGCTTCCCAGATAAGGAAACTGAATGAAAGCCAATAATGAAGGCTTCTAATCAGATCTCGAGTGTTCAGAGATGGGAGGAGTTGCAGGGCCAGCAACACAGACAAAGAGGGCAGTGCCTTTGTTGCATGCGTGTTATTGGCCAGACACATGTGACTTGTAATTCAAGAGATTTTATCTTCCTGTCCCATCCTGCCATGAATACCATTATTTGTCCACCTTTTATTTGTTTGTTTGTTTTGGTGTTATTAACCGTATCTTCCTTAAGAGAATCTTACAAAATTATTGAGTCCTTTAAGTGCATTTTTAAAGTCTTGAGAATTATTTTTGCTTTGACCTTTCACCGGAGGCATTATTTTACAATTCCTTTGCTTGATCTATGTTGGACTTTTTAAAAGCTGCCACAACTCTAGTAGAATTTAAAAATGTAATTTAAAGGATCCCAAACTGCTTTAGGATTGATTTCAACTACAAGCTATGGAGTTTTGACTATGAGACTTAATAAAATAAGTTTTGTTGTTTCTCCTATAACAAGAAGTCCAGGGTTAGGCAGTTTAAGGTCACTGTAGCAATCCTGGAGCACTGGTGCTGCAGTTTCAAACATTTTTCAGGCTCCGTCTCTCTTTTCTGCTCTCTTTGGTGTGTGGATTTATTCTCATGATCACCTAATGACAACAAGATGGCAGTTATTTCCAATCTTGTTACCACCATCTATTTAGAGAAAAGATAGAAAAGTCACAAGGAGGAAGGGATGGTCTTATATTAGGAAAACTGTGTTTCCTCAGAAATCCTCCCACCTATCTTACTGGCTAGACTGTGTCACATAGATATTTCTCTACACAAGAGAGGCTACGAATGTGAGATTTCAGATGACTGTGCTGCTATTACTAACAAAATTAGAGTTTTTTCTTGTTTTTTTTTAATAAGAAAGGGATCAGTGGTAGTAAACAACATGACCATTTTCTTTCCTAAGAACATCCCTCCCAAAAATGTTCTGTCCAAAATTAATAGATAAAATGAAGTTTCGTAAGAACACAGGAAGAAATAATTGAACAAAAAGAAGTCAGGAGATTTGATTATAATAGATTAGCTTATTTTGAGCAAGAAACTGGATCAGACCCATCAAAAAGATCTGAAAACATAGTGGTAGTTATTAACCAAATTTATGGCACATCACTTTTTGGTAACGTTTTGGTCCCTAGCCTGAGGGACTTTCCAACTAGAGCTATTCTTTTGTCTTTGAACAGAATTTCCTCTGAATTCTTACTCATTTCCTTGACTTCTGGACACAGTAGTTTTCAGTAGTGGCATTTGTATGTAGAAGCCTTTTTATACGATTTAATTGAGATCAAAGTTTGTTCTATTATTTAAAATTTTTCTTTAAAATAAGAAATCATAAACATATATGATTTATTAAAAACTTCTTAGTTTTGTTTCAATGTGGTAAATATATATAGCACAAAATGGATCATTTTTAACAATTCTCAGCATACAGCTAGGTGGCATTAAGTAGATTCATGTTGTTGTACAACCATTACCACTACCCATTTCCAGAACTTTTAATTATCTTAAATAGGAAATTTGTTCATTTAAACAATCATTCCCCATTCTCTCCTTTTTCCAGCTCCTGGTAAATTCTATTCTACTTTACATTTTTATAAATTTGTCTATTCTTGGTATTTCTAAGTGGAATCATACAATGTTTGCCTTTTGTTTCCAGCTTATTTCGGTTACCAGGTTTTCAAAGCTCATCCATATTGTGTATGGATTAGAATTTAATCTATTTTTAAGGTTGGGTAATAATCCATTTCATACATTTACATGTATATATACATTGTATATATGAAATGTATATATATAAAACAAACAAATGTATATACATAATATTTTATTCATTCATCTGTTGACAGACGTTTCTGTTATTTACAACTTTTAGCTGTTGTGAATAATGCTTCTATGAACATGGATGTACATGTGTCTGTTTGAGTCCCTGCTTTCAATTATTTTAAGTATGTAGTATACTTAAAAGTGAAATTATGACAGGTATTGTGATTCGATGTTTAATTTTTTTGAGAAACTGCCAAACTGTTTAACTTCCACAGTGGCTGGGTCCTTTTACATTTCAACGAACAATGCACAAGAGTTGTGATTGCTTCATACTCTTGCCAACATTTGTTAATTTCCATTTTTTAAATGACAGCCATTTTAATGGATGTGGATTGGTATATCATTGTGATTTTGATTGGCATTTCCCTAATGACTAGTTATATTGACCATGTTTTTATGTGTTTATTTGCCATTTGTATATATTTTTCAGAGAAATGTCAGTTCAAGTCCTTTGCCCATTTTTTAATTAGGTGGTTTGCTTCTTTATTATTGACTTGTGGTTCTACATTTCAGTAGATTACAGTATTGCTCCTCAAAGATCTGTAATGAATGACCATTTTGTTCTTCTTCAGCCCCTCTCTAACTGATGCTTTTGTTAAATGCAATAAAAATAAATTACTAGAAAAATGAAATAAAGTGCACAAATCTCAATTTTATTAGTAGATTCAACTGACATGAAATTATATTCCTATATATATAAACAAAACATATCTTAGACAAAAAGAAAATAATAAAAAATCTGTGCAAATCATTCATTAAAAGTGTGTATATAGATAACATATAGAATCACTATTATATTCATAACTTTTCATTTTCTGCAATTATAACTCAACAGAAAATGTAAAAGAAATGATATGTTAAATGCCTAGATCACCATTTGAATGAAGACCCTATAAATTAGTATTTAATTGGTGTGACAAATGTTCATGACTCTTGTTTTGATATAATTTGGATTGATATTAATGTTATTCAAAGGAAATAACGTATATCTACAAAAGTTTATATGTTTTCTTTTAAAACACAGTACACAGGAATAGAATAAGATTTTAGCAAACTCAAAATAGTAATTTTTAACTTTTTTCTGTAAAATGAAATTTTAACAATTATCTTCCTTTAGAAACATGGCTGGTTTAACTGAATAAGCCGGGTTCCAAAGCATATTTAACCAAAATGACGTATTTCAGGCTGAATTAAATATTAAAAGCCACTCATCTATACACATTCACCACTTGGATACTCAAGAATAATATTGATGTGATAGTAGCAAGGACATTTGTTTTTCTACTTAGTTACTATAGGGCCCAAAATAAAAGATGTGTTTAATCAGTAATAAAATATTAAATCATCTCTTCAATTTTGATTCATTTATTTTTCTTACTGCTTTTACTTTTAGATCCATCTCTAAATCTCTCATTTTTTTCCCTATTCCAATGCTATGTTATATTTTACTCCATTTCAAACTAACAGACATTATTGAATATCTTCCAGTATTATACAATAGTGTTAAAACGGTCTCCCAGGAACCAAGTAATTAATTTCTTAGCTATCATATTTACTACTCAGATTCTACGGCATTAAGTCAGACTTCTCTGAAGATAAATGCAAATTAATTTTCTCATTGCCTCACAATTTAGAATTCTGACTCTGATATAATCAAATAAGCTCCTATGGAGACACAGATTTAGTTGTTCAACTTGATTTTCTTTCAACAAAATAGCTTCATAAATACTACAAGCAACCGTTCAGTTCTCGTATTTCAATATCTTGTGGAAAAGTACTCTATTACTGAAAATGTGCAGACTTTACAAAATGAAGGAAAAAATGAAAAAATAAAATGATTTTCAATGGGTCAATTTAAGCCCAAAGTGCTTAAGGATACAGAGCAATTTATTTCAATTACTTCAAGCAGTGAGTAAAGGCACACCTGGTGCTGTCTCCAGGCCAATGCACTCCAGTTAACAGGTGTGAATTAATGTTTGCTAGCATTGATTTCTCAACGGGAGTCACTGCTTCACTTTTTCTTTTTAGCTTCTTTACTAAATGAGTACAAATTCCTATTTCTATGAAAGTAACGAGCACTTCTTTCTATATTACAACTTGTTCAATTGAAGTGCACATGTTCTCAGCATCAGCTACTCCCTAAAACCTATACTAATTTTAAAAAGCACTTTGATTATCAAGTTCTTCTTTTAAGTCAGAATAAGCTACTAAAATTGTATGTAATAATCCTGACCACTCAGTGGCTTTACAAGATCTACCCACCTAACTGCTCAACATTTACCAGTTGTTTTTTCAGTTTTTATGCCAATAAGAATCAGTTCATTGGGTGGTGATCTGAAATCACCAACTAATCTAACTGACTAAAAATTGGAGCTGTAATCCCTATCTCCAGGGTGTGGGATTGTGGGAAACTGAGGAATTATTTTTCCTTCATCCTGGCTCAAAAGGACTATAAAGCAAAAGTTCTTCACCTTCCCATGCTCCTAATTATCCATTGATAAATTGATATTAGATTAGATGCAAGATGCACAATTAACCTTAAGGTTGTGATCTCTTAAAATAAGCACTGACTTAACTTCTTACCATAATCTGTCATGCAATGTATTGATGTTAAACATGACATTTTTACACTGAGAGAAGAGTATAGCTTCATGTCTGAAAGCAGGAGAATGACAAGGATGCCACCTCACCAAAGGTAGATAATCAATTTTTCACTAAATCAGTTCTGCATTATATAATGAAGGAATAAATTGTTCAAACAAACCAAAGCTGCATAGAATGGAAAAAATGCAGACATTTTAAATTAATAATTCAACACAATATGATATAGAGAGCAATCAATGAAGAATTAATAGGAATATTTTTGACAGTTGCAAAAATTTTGCTTAATGCTTTAAACCCTATAGACATCACATTTTTAATTTATCAATTTATTCAGCACATATTTTTGAGTATCTCTGATGTTCAAGATGCCATGCTGGTTACTGTGGAAAGTAAATCTGTGACCCAGTGAACAGCTCAGGCTTGCCATTTTTCTCATGCCTCTTTTTCTAAATTCCCAGTGATTTAAATTCTCTTGGTTATTTTCACTTCAAGAACCTGTTTCTACAGCACTGCTACCATCGGTAGTTTTTAACTTCCAAAGAATTCCCTTCTTTTAGCTTCTCATGGATTCAGGTATGGAATGGAATTTCATACAAGCCATTTGTATGTCCTAGACTTTATGAAAATTTGGCATGATGGAGTTTTATCTCACGGGAAGGCAAACAACTTAACTCTTAGACAAATTTGATCATAATCGTTCCCTATGTTTTGCAACTCATATTCCTCCCCTCCACACTCTTCCTTCTTCCCTGCCTCTCTCATTAACAGTTCTCCCAAATCAGCTCCAAAATTCTCATTTGTTTCTTATACAGTGTCCATTATATATTTCTATTCAAACCAACCCAGGCTCTCAGAGTCTCATTTTTCACAATTTATAGCTTTACATGACCTCATAAAATTCTTTTGTATTCCTTTAAGAAAAAAACACTTTTAAGTTCAAGGGTATCTGTGCACGTGTGCTATATAGGTAAACTTGTGTCTTGGGAGTTTGATGCACAGATTGTTTCGTCACCCCGGGTTTAAGCCTAGTACCCATTAGTTATTTCTCCTGATCCTCTCCCTCCTCCCACCCTCCACCCTCCAACCTTCACCCTCCAAGAGGCCCCCGTGTGTTTTGTTTTCCTTTATGTGTCCATGTATTCTCATTGTTTAGCTCCCACTTATAACTAAGACTATGTGGTATTTGTTCTCCTGTTTCTGTGTTAGTTTGCTGAGGATAATGGCCACCAGCTCCATTCATGTACCTGCAAGACATTATCCCATTGGTTTTTATGGCTGCAGAGTATTTCATGTAGTATATGTACCACATTTTCTTTATCTAGTGTATCACTGATGGACACTGAGGTTGATTCCATGTCTGCTATTGTGAATAGTGCTGCAATGAGCACAAGTGTGCATGTGACTTTATAATATAATGATTTATATCCCTTTGGATATATGCCCAGTAATGAGATTGCTGGGTTGAATGGTATTTCTGGTTCCAAATCTTTGAAGAATCACCACACTATCTTCCACGTGATTGAACTAACTTACACTCCCACCAACAGTGTATAAGCATTCCTTTTTCTCCACAACCTCGCCAGCATCTGTTATTTTTTGACTTTTTACTAATAGCCATTCTGACTGGTGTGAGATGATATCTCATTGTGATTTTGATTTGTGTTTCTCTAATAATCAGTGATGTTTAGCTTTTTTTCATATGACTGTTGGCCACATGTATGTCTTCTTTTGGAAAGTATCTTCTCAGGTCCTTTGCCCATTTTTAATGGCATTGTTTTTTTCTTGTTAATTTATTTAAGTTCCTTATAGATGCTGGATGTTAGACCTTTGTCAGATACTTAGAAAACTGCAGTCTCAGCCCAAAAACTCCTTAAACTTATAAACAACTTAAGCCAAGTCTCAGGATACAAAATCATTGTGCAAAAATCATTAGTATTCCAATATGCCAACAAGAGGCAAGCCAAGAGTTAAATCAGGAATGTAATCCCATTCATAATTGCCTTAAAAATGATAAAATATATAGGAATACAGCTCTGCAGAGAGTGAAAGATCTCTATAAGAAGTACAAAACACTGCTCTAAGAAATCAGAGATAACACAAACAAATGGAAAAACATTCCATGCTCATGGATAGGAAGAATCAATATCATAAAAATGGCTACAATGGCCAAAGCACTTTAAATATTTAATGCAATTCCTATTAAACTACCATTTAGAGTCTTCACAGAACTACAAAAAAAACTATTTTAAAATTCATATGGAACAAAAAAGCAGACCGAATAGCCAAGGAAATCCCAAGCAAAAAAGCAAAGCTGAAGGCATCATGCCACTTGACTTCAAACTATACTACAGGGATACAATAACCAAAACAGCATGGCACTAGTACAAAAACAGACACATAGACCAATGAAACAGAATAGATAACCCAGAAATAAGGCGGCACACCTACAATCATGTGATTTTCTCTTGTACTCCTTTACATTCTATCCCCACCACAAATTTCTGGACCCAGACGACCACTGATATGCTTTTCTAGTCTGTAGACTAGAATTCAAATTGAGTTTCATGTAAATAGAGTAACATATTATGTCAACTTTTGTTCCTGGCTTCTTTTGCTCAAACAGTGTTTTTTTAAAATTATTATTATACTTTAACTTCTGGGATACATGTGCAGAACATGCAGGTTTCTTACATAGGTATACACGTCCCATGGTGGTTTGCTGCACCCACCAACCTGTCATCTACATTAGGTATTTCTCTTAATGCTATCCCTCCCCTAGCCCCTGATCCCTGACAGGACCTGTTGTGTGATGTTCCCCTCCCTGTGTCCATGTGTTCTCATTGTTCAACTCCCACTTACGAGTGAGAACATGTGGTGTTTGGTTTTCTATTCCTATGTAGTTTGCTGAGAATTATGGTTTCCAGCTTCATCCATGTCCCTGCAAAGGACATGAATTCAACATTTTTTATGGCTGCATAGTATTCCATGGTGTATCTGTGCCACATTTTCTTAATCCAGTCTATCATTGATGGCCATTTGAGTTGGTTCCAAGTCTTTGCTATTGTGCATAGTGCTGCAATAAACATACGTGTGTATATATCTTTATAGTAGAATGATTTAAAATCCTTTGGGTATATTCCTAGTAATGGGATTGCTGAGTCAAATGGTATTTCTCATTCTAGATCCTTGAGGATCTAGAACTGTCTTCCACAATGGTTGAACTAATTTATACTCCCACCAACAGTGAAAAAGCATTCCTATTTCTCCACATCCTCTCTAGCATCTGTTGTTTCCTGACTTTTTAATAATCACCATTCTAACTGGCATGAGATGGTATCTTGTTGTGGTTTTGATTTGCATTGCTCTAATGACCAGTGATGATGAGCTTTTCTTCACATGTTTTTTGGCTACATAAATGTCTTATTTTAGAAGTATCTGTTCATATCCTTCACCCACTTTTTGATGGGGTTGTTTTTTTCTTGAGAATTTGTTAAGTTCCTTGTAGATTCTGTATATTAGCACTCTGTCAGATGGATAGATTTCAAAAATTTTCTCCCATTCTGTAGGTTGCCTGTTCACTCTGATGATAGTTTCTTTTGCTATGCAGAAGCTCTTTAGTTTAATTAGGTCCCATTGATCGATTTTGGCTTTTGTTGCCATTGCCTTTGGTGTTTTAGTCATGAAGTCTTTGCTCATGCCTATGTCCTGCATGGTATTGCCTAGGTTTTCTTCTAGGGTTTTTATGGTTTTAGGTCTTAGTTTAAGTCTTTAATTCATCTTGAGTTAATTTTTGTATAAGGTGTAAGGAAGGGGTCCAGTTTCAGCTTTCTGCATATGGCTAGCTAGTTTTCCCACCATTTATTAGGTAGGGAATCCTTTCCCTATTGCTTGTTTTTTTCAGGTTTGTCAAAGATCAGATGGCTGTAGATGTATAGTATTACTTCTGAAGTCTCTGTTCTGTTCTATTGGTCTATATATCTGTTTTTGTACCAGTACCATGCTGTTTTGGTTACTGTAGGCTTGTAGTATAGTTTGAATTCAGGTAGCGGGATGCCTCCAGCTTTGTTCTGTTTGCTTAGGATTGTCTTGGCTATATGGGCTTTTTTTCTGGTTCCATATGAAATTTAAAGTAGTTTTTTTCTAATTCTGTGAAGAAAGTCAGTGGTAGCTTGATGAGGATAGCATTGAATCTATAAATCCCTTTGGGCAATATGGCCATTTTCAAGATATTGAGTTTTCCTATCCATGCCAATAACAAGTTCTGTAATTGCGGCAGTAATTAATAGCCTACCAATCAAAAAAAAAAAAAATCCCAGGACCAGACGGATTCACAGCCAAATTCTGCCAGAGATACGAAGAAGAGCTGGTACCATTCCTTCTGAAACTATTGCAAACAATAGAAAAAAGAGGGAATCCTCCGTAACTCATTTTATGATGTCAGCATCATCCTCATACCAAAACCTGGCAGAGACACAACGACAACAAAAAATTTCAGGCCAATATCCCTGATGAACATCAATGTGAAAACCCTCAATAAAATACTGGCAAACCGAATCCAGCAGCACATCAAAAAGCTTATCCACCACGATCAAGTTGGCTCCATCCCTGGGATGCAAGGCTGGTTCAACATACGCAAATCAAGAAACATAATCCATTACATAAACAGGACCAATGAAAAAAACCACACGATTATCTCAATAGTTGCAGAAAAGTCCTTTGATAAAATTCAACACCACTTCATGCAAAAAACTCTCAATAAACTAGGTATTGATGGAACATATCTTAAAATATAGGAAGAGCTATTTATGACAAACCCACAGCCAATATCTTACTGAATGGGCCAAAGCTGGAAGCATTCCCTTTGAAAACCAGCACAAGGCAGGGATGCACTCTCTCACCACTCCTATTCAACATAGTATTGGGAGTTCTGGCCAGGGCAATCAGGCAAGAGAAAGAAATGAAGGATATTCAAATAGGAAGAGAGAAAGTCAAATTATCTCTGTTTGCAGATGACATGGTTGTATATTTAGAAAACCCCATCGTCTCAGCCCGAAATCTCCTTAAGCTGATAAACAATTTCAGCAAAGTCTCAGGATACAAAATCAATGTGCAAAATCACAAGCATTGCTATACACCAATGATAGACAAACAGAGAGCCAAATCATGAGTGAATTCCAATTCACAATTTCTACAAAAAGAATAACATACCTAGGATTACAACTTACAAGGGATGTGAAGGACCTCTTTAAGAAGAACTAGAATCCACTGCTCAAGGAAATAAGAGATAACACAAACAAATGGAAAAACATTTAAATAGTGTTTTTTATATTCATTCATTGTGTTACATATATAGTAATTCATTCTTTTATTGGAGGCGTATGTTATGGATATACTATAATTTGTTCAAAAATTCATTCATCTGTTGTTGAACATTTAGGATATTTCTAGTTATTGGCTATTATGAATAAAGTTTCTACAAGTAGGCCCATCTTCCCATGCACATAAGTTGTCATTCCTGTTAGATAATAGCATGGAAATGAAATGGATAGGCTGTGTGGTCAGTGTATGTTTACATGTATAATAAACTGTCAAAGATTTTTCCAAATGGGTTGTGCACTTTTACCTTCGCAGCAGTGACGTACGAGAGTGTTGGTTCTTTTGCATCCTATTACCGTGTAGTATTATCAGTCTTTACTATGTTATTTTAGCCACTAAACATGTAGTAGTATCTCATAATTTTAATTTGGATTTCTCAAATGACTAATGATATTGAATATCTTTTGCATGTCCTGACTCTTCATATTTTATCTTCTTTTGTAAAGTGTCTGCCTGAATTTTTACCAATATTTTAATTGGAGTCTTTGTCATCTTCCAGTCAATATGTACTACAAATACTTTCTGTATTGGGGCTTGGCTTTTCCTTTTCATAAAGGTATCTTCAAACAGAAATAAAATTAAGATAAAAGTCTCTTTCGCCTTTTTTTTTAACTTATGGTTTCTACATTTGATGTGCTATCTATAAAAATGTTTCCTATCTCAAGTTCAAAAGATTTTTGTCTATATGTTGTCTGGAAGTTTCATAGTTTCAGCTTGTACATTAGGTCTAGGATGTATTTCAGTTTGGTTTTTGGGTATATGATGTGAAACAAGATTTGAGGCTTATTTTCTTCATATTAATAATTAGTTTAGCAGAATTTGTTTTAAAAAAAGTGTTCATTCACTATTGAAATACGTTGGCATCTTTAAAAAATCAGTTGACCCTGTAACTGTGATTAGTATAGGCCTCTGTATTGCATTGCACTGATATTTATGCCTGTTCTTTTGCTAATATCACACTGTCTTGATTAGTAAATCTTAAAATATGTTAGTGTATCTTCCCTAACTTTGTTTGACTTAGTCAAAATTATTTGGCCATTCCATGTTCTTTGCATGTTTATATACATTTTACAATCAGCTTATCAGTTTTTATGACAACATGGCTGGTATCTTGATTGTAATTGAGTTCAATCTATGAATTGTTATGTGGAAAATTGACATGTTAATGGTACTGAGCCTTCCAATCCGTGAATATAATACAGCTCTCAATTTACTTGTCTTTAATCATTTCTCTTGGTCATGTTTTATAGTTTTAATGTGCATGTCTTGATTTTTGTCAAATTTATTTTTGTCAAATGTTCACCTATTGAGATGATTGTATGTGTTTTATGCTTTATTTAGCTAATATGCTAAAGTACATTGATTTTTTTTTTTTTTTTTTTTGAGATGGAGCTTCATGCTTGTTGCCCAGGCTGGAGTGCAATGGCACAATCTCAGCTCACTGCAACCTCTGCCTCCCGGGTTCAAGCCATTCTCTTGCCTCAGCCTCCTGAGTAGCTGGGATTACAGGCACCCACCACCACGCCCAGCTAATTTTTTGTATTTTTAGTAAAGACGAGGTTTCACTATACTTTCCAGGCTGGTCTCAAACTCCTGACCTCAGGCAATCCACCTGCCTCGGCCTCCCAAGGTGCTAGGGTTACAGGCATGAGCCACTGCACCTGGCTTGAAGTACATTGAGTTTTTAAGGTTAAAATGAACTTGCATTATTGGAAAAGACAGTATTTGTTCATGGTGCATTCTTGTCATATATAGTTGAAAATGATCATCTTACATTTAAAAAAATTGTTGTGTTTGTGTTCATTATTCAATGGAAGATATTGATCTGTAGTTTTCTTATAATGTCTTTGTTTTGGTATCAGAGTAATGCTTGCATCACAAAATGATTCAGAAAGCATTCTCAGTAAATATTTAACATCTATAGATATTTATACTGTCCTGAAAGCAAAGTGAGGTTTCCGGATAAGGACCAATCTATTATTTACAACAGATAATTGGGGCTGCATGTACAGAAAAGGAATATTTGCACTACAAGAGAAGAGCTCATAAATTATGAATCTGAGAATTTATATAGACTACAAACAGCCCAGTTACCACCTGTGTCTCCTAAGACACAAGACAAACCTAGAGAAAGTAGAGAAAATGAATCTTCATAATGTAAACAAATCTCTGAGAAATGAATAAGAAGGAGGTCCCAAGTTTACCGCTCTCTGTAATGTAAACAAATAACCCAGTGCCTCTTTCCTCTCTGAAATGTAAATCTTTTCTGTGGGTTTAATACTTTCAAAATGTGAAGAACTAATATGTCTGGGGAACAAAAGTAGGTATTCTCAGTCTTTGTACATTGTCAAATTCTGTTGCTCAGAAGGCTGGGACCCTTCACTAAGAAATACTGAAAGGATTAGCTTCCACATTTCTTTTCCTATGTTTTCTGAAAGGATTTAGGTAGGATTGACATTATTTCTTCCTTAAACATTGGGTATAATTCACCACCAGTAAAGCCATTAAGACCTGATGTTCCTTTGTGGAACATTTTCAATTAAAAATTTAATTTTAGCTTATCAGTTGTATAATTTCGTCTTTTTTTTGAATTGAGATTATCATTTGCATGACTTAAAGTTTTCGTTTAAAGTGTACAATTCAATGTTTATTTAGCATATTTATATAGTATATGACTATCATCATAATCTAATTTTAGAACATTTTATTAATCCTCAAGGAAACCTTATACTCCTTAGTTCTCACTCTCAATTTTTTCCCCAACCTCCAAGCCTATGCAGCCCTAATCTATTTTCTCCGTACAGATTCAATAACCATGGCCATTTCATATAAATGTGATAATATATGTATGGTCTTTTGTAACTGCTTTTAGAAATTCATCCATGTTATAGCATATATTAGTATGCAAACTTCTATTCCACTGCATATTTTGTTTACCCATTCATCTGTTGGATATTGTGTTGCATTGGCCTTTTGGCTATTATAAATAATGCTGCTCTGCCATTCATGTACAGTTTTTGTGTGAACATATATTTTTATTTCTCCTGGCACAAAATTGTTGACTCATATGGTAATTTTATCTTTAACCTTTTGTGGAACTGCCAGACTGTTTTCCGAAGGGGTCACAGCATTTTACATTCTAACCAGTAATGTATGAAGGCTCTTAATTTCTCCACATCGTCACCAACTCTTGTTATCAACTATCTTTTTTATTATATCCACCTTAGTGAGTGTAAAGTGGTAAGTCATTGTGGCATTTCTGTCAATGTAAATACAATGTAAATGCATTTCTGTCAATGTAAATGCAAAAGTTTTTATGTGTTGAGCAAATTTGCATGTGTTTTTTATTGATTGATTGATTGAGACGGAGTCTCTCTCTGTCGCCAGGTCAGAGTGCATTGACAGGATCTTGGCTCACTGCAACCTCCACCTCCTGGGTTCAAGCGATTCTCCTGCCTCTGCCTTTTGAGTAGCTGGGATTACAGGCACCCGCCACCATGCCCAGCTAAGTTTTGTATTTTTAGTAGAGTCAGGGTTTCACCATTTTGGCCAGGATTTTCTCGATCTCTTGACTTTGTGAGCCGCCAGCCCTGGCCTCCCAAAGTGCTGGGATTACAGGCGTGAGCCACTGGGCCGAGCCTATTAGTTATTTAAATATCTTCTTTGTTGAAATATCTATTCAAATCTTTGCCTCATTTTTAAATTGAGTTGCTTAAAAGTTACTGAGTTGTAACAATTCTTTATATATTCTGCAAACAGCTCCAGACCGGAAACAGTTCAGAACTCCACCAAAGAGACACAATGAGAAAGCTTATATAAAGTGAATGTGAAAGCAAGGCAAAGAAAATATTTTTTTGGTTAAAGTAGCTTTAAAAATTTTAAGCAAATTAAATTTAGCAGAGTTTATTTGAACAAAGAACAGTTCATGAATCAGACAGCACTCAGAACCAGAAGAGGTTCAGAGAGCTCTGCTGTAGCAGCATGAGCAGCAGGGTCTGATAGGCTGAACACAGAAGCAAAGTAAAGAAATTACTTGACTAGCTACAGCGAGGCATTTTCCTTATTTGGGTATGATCTAATGAAAAGTTCCTAGTTATATAACTAAAGGCCAGTTGACTGTGGTTGGTTAAGCTTCAGTTTCCTTTTACTGTTTACATCGAATTGAGTTTTTCTTTGCTTGTGGTGGAACCCATGGCACAGGAGCTGTCTTAGCCTAATGGCCTGCCACTTAATTATTGAAACACTTTATTTGAATGATCCTAGTAAAAAGTTCCTAGTTAGAGGTTGGTTGGCAGTTTCTGATGGGTTAAGATGAAGTTTTGCTTACCTAGAATGTGACTGTTTATACCGAGTTGGATCTCAGTTTGCTTATGCAGGAAACCAGGGCACTGGAGCTGCCTCTGTTTAATGGCCTCCCAATTAATTATTTCAACCGGCTGCCTCCTTTCACTTCACCCTTAGTCTGTGGGTGCCACCCTTCTGGTTCTAACCAATAATGTTCTCCAATACCCACTACACTTGATATGCCATGGACTCTAATTCCTGTCCTGAGCTCAAGGCTGTCAGTCTCTCAGAGTTTCAGGCAGTCCTTCTAGAAAAGGCAAAACTCATAGTTAGTTTACATCTCTGAGCTTATTTTTTTCCTCAGATACTGGCCAAATAATTGTGCACCACATTATTGGCATTTTGCTGCCTTCCTACTGATGATTTAAAAATTTTTCCCCAGTTTTACTAGTTGCTCTCAGTCAGAGTTTAATACAAAGTGTCTAGCCCATTGTTACTGGAAATTGACATTTCATCTACTTGAATTCACATTATCTTTGTGTGTTATATATGTCTTCCTAAGTGGTCTTATATCTTTTTCTTCCAGGTGGGTATAAGTAAATTAACAAGCGTGAGCTCCGAATCCAGATTGCTGTGCTGTTGTCTTGGTTGTGCTACACTACAACTAGCTATATGACATTGCCCAAGCTGCTTAAATCTCTATGCCCCATTTTCTTCATGAGGTTGTTTAGAGAATTAAATAAATTAATACCAATTAAGCCCTGAGATTATTGCCTAGGACATTTTAAGTGCATGAAAATCATTAGGCCTTATTGTTCAGTACAACTTTATATTAAATTCAGCCTAACTTAAAGTAAAATCAATAGATGAGTTCCACGTAGTGTTCAAGGAAGCTCATTTTACTATCATTATTTGAAATAGCCTAGAGAAGAGTTAATTTTTAGGTTTTTACTAATTTATTTGTTAACTCTAACTATGCATCACCAAGAATTTCTAGATGCTAATGTTGTATATTATGCATTCTTAAAATTTCTCCAGGGAACTGAATGTATTACAAATAAGTTTTTTCATTTGTTCCAACTAACTCTGCTCCCATGGCTTGTAATATCTTGGTTGCAGGTGTCTATATCTTCTAGCGCCCCTTCTTGAATAGTAAATGCTGAAGGTCAAAGCAAACCTTCATGATACAGAGTTTCTTTATGTGCCTGCTTTCTGCCATAGTAATTTATCAGGAAAAAATAATAATAAACCAACCACAACCTGTGTATTTTCTCCATTTTTCTTCTTCCATGTAGACAATGCATATCTCAGATTTGAGTTGAAACTCCTAATTCCTATCTGTAATGAGAAAAACTCCTATGCTTTTTTCTACCAACAATCACAAATAGGAGAATCAAAGATGACTGTTTAAGACAATAGACATAACAGGACATGTCTCAAAATGTAGCAAATGGATCATAAAAACAGGAAAGATTAATGTCATTTTTCTTTCTTTTTTTTTTCTAATAGATACTATGTAGACCAACACAATGGACATATGTTGTTTATATGTTCCTTTTAGCAAATTTAATTAAGAGACTGAATTTTATTTAATAGTTTTATATTGAAAAAACTTCTTCCAAGGCAGCAAAAATTTTCACTCAGGAAGAGCCCATTTGCAAACTTCTAAATATCTTTAAATGATGAACGTTTCCTGAAATAAAGATAAAACCTGGTATGAATCCTATGTGCATTCCCAGGTCATCTGAACAAAAAATCCCTGGGCTTTGTTTTAAATTCTGTACAAAATATATCTCTTCAGAAAGGCTGTCCTGAATGATTATGGATGGAAAATATTTTTGCAGTCATGTCGAAGATTAAAAGCATATATGAAATTACAAAGATGAGAATGATCTGACATTTTCTTCAGGATATAACATCTTCCAAATAATTTTTTTATTACTGACCTGAGTTTGCGATAGCATGCATGTGCAGTAGCAATATTGAAAAATGCCAGTCAGAGCAATAGGTGCTACTCAAGTAATTTCAACTTTATATTTCTTCAAATTAAGAGAAAATATTTTATTTTTTCTGAAATTGGCATTCATGAGATATCACTAGTGAAAAAGTACTCTATTTTGCCCCTAAAAATCCTTTTTTGTTGTTGAAAAAGTTCCAAATTCTGAGAGCGATTATTTAGGAGCTACTTGTTTTTACATCTGAAATGTGTGACAATTTATTGTACCAATCAGTGTCCTTCCAGTTGCATATGACAGATATATAACTAGGGAAAAAGACATAGTGTTTTTGTTTTGTTTTTTGCCCACTCCAGAAAGATGCAGGAAAATTATAGCTTTAGCCAGGTCTGGGATATGAATGGGAAGAGGGTGGGAAAAAACTCCAAGATACTCTCCTTCAATTTCTTATCTTCTGCTCTCTCTTGAAACATTCCTTTTTTTTCCCCCTCTGTATAATGGCATCCACATATGGCAAGTGGGAGTTCCAGACTCACATCTATTAATTTTTCCCTTCAGCAGACACTGACAACAACTTTCCTTGCTCTCACAGTCAAAAACCTAAGGTAAATGCTGCTTGATTCAGCTTGTTTCAGGAACCTAGCCTTACGCAATCACAGTTTCCTGGATGGGATGGCATCACTCCCCCTTGCCAGGTCATCTTAGGAAGAAGACATTTGTTATCATTCAACAGAAGAGACGTCCATTGTGACTAAGGGATTTTCTGGTTCTTCACTTATTTAAATTAACAGTATTAAGTGGGCATCCATTTCTTTTTGTTACCTACCTCTTGTATATTTTTACATGTTTTCATGATCTCAGTTTTAAAAAAGTGTTTAAGAGCTATGCAGATATTTGGCTATTTTGCTTTTCAAGGGACAATGTGGTGATCTATCTTTAATTGGGCAGCAGAAACTTGGGAAATACTAATGATAAAGCAGCAGGATGGCAGCTGTGAACTTGAATCTCACATCTTAAACTCCAGCATGGGAAGCTGCCTGTCTCTTAGAGTTAGCTGTGTATGGCTATGCTTTCCTCTCTCAGAGGAACTATCTAGATTTGCTTGTTGCTTCAGGCAGTGTTCTGAAACTTTTTAGATTATAAATAACAACTGGAAAGTTTGTTAAAAATATAGGTTCACTGGCCGTACCTCACGTCCACTGAAAAAAACAATCTATATTCTTATAATCAGACAAGTCAAGGGAACACTGCAGACGAAATATAGGATGTGTTAGGGGAGCTAGTGGATTACCTTGTCATTTTAACCCTTAGTGGGGGAAAACTGGTAAATGCAGAGCCCAGAGGGATTATACTGAACTAAAGGAAATGATTTCCTTTCTATGTGTTTAGCTATTTATTCCCTTATCTAAAGCTTTTTTTTCAATCAACATTATTTTTAGTTTTTAAATTTTTTTATCAGTAGTCTTGTTAATAAAAAAATATATTCTCTGTATCAATGGAAATGTTAAGTGTACTAAAATAAATGTGATAAATATTATAGGGTAGGTTTTGTTTACATATTTCTTTACGTGTAGTAACTTATTTAATCTTTACCAAAACCCTGTAAGATTATTGGTATCAGTATCTTCTGCTTTTAACATACGAGAAGGATGGAAGTTCAGAAGAATTATGTTATTGCTTAGGTTGACAACAGACCAGGTCCAAGCACAGAGCTCCCTCATCCACTGCCTACATCCCCAACTACCACCACAACCAATGACACAGTGCTTCCTTCTGCTGGCCCAATAGAAGCAGCTGTGCTGGCAAATTCCATCCAATGTATCCTTTCATATATGTTATGTGATAATATATTATAAGGTTGTTGACGAGATGAAATGTGAGATCAGATTTCATAGAACTTTTAAGAGTTTGAAACTATAAGCAAATTAGGTGGTATGATGATATGTTTCAGGGATATAGAAACCTATCTTTGCACACAGTTTATCATATCTCTATTTCTATTCATTTTATTTTAAATAGACTAAAAGACCATGACTTGTTTTGAAATTATAAGGTCATAAACAAATTAATATATAATAAAGTTCATTGAGATATGTGTATATACCTGAAAGAACCAGGAGACCAAGGTAACTAGGATTCAAATCTTGCTCTTCCAATAGCTTCTTACACAAATCTGAGCCACTAACTTTACCTTTTGGGCTCACTTCTATTTATGGAAAAAAACATTGACTAGCTTAATAGTTCATACACTTTTTATATTAAAGACAATTTTTATTAATTTTTTTCCATCTATATGACTTTATTTTATTTTATTTTTTTATTTGAGACAGAGTCTCGCTCTGTTGCCCAGGCTAGAGTGCAGTGGTGCAACCTCGGCTCACTGCAAGCTCCGCCTCCTGGGTTCACGCCATTTTCCTGCCTCAGCCTCCGGAGTAGCTGGGACTACAGGCGCCCGCCACCATGCACGGCTAATTTTTTGTGTTTTCAGTAGGACAGGGTTTCACCGTATGAACCAGGATCTCCTGACTTCGTGATCCGCCCACCTCGGCCTCCCAACGGGCTGGAATTACTGATGTGAGTCACCATGCCCGGCCCCTATATGACCCATTTAAAAAAAACTTTCTCGGGTAGGAAAACTACATTTAGAAAATAGTTTTTAATTAATTTTCCATTTTCTAATCAATCACAACATACATAGTATATGTGAATATATATTACATATACCCTGTCAATCAGAATTTACTGGGATGAAATAATTAGTCACAACGCTTGGAAATTTTATCTCAGTTTGAAATGAAGCTGGTCTGTTATTTAGTCTGGGTGAAGGGCACAAATGTATCAAAGGTCGAGCAGATCACAAGCCTATTTCCATTTTGACTTTCACAGTCTTGTAGGCATCATCTCTGCTTGGTTTCAGTTGAACCAAATGATTTCTCCCAGGACCAGTTTATGAATCTATGAATTTTAATAGAAATCAGCAAACTGTACTTTGAGATAAAAACTGGAAATAGAGTATGTGGACAGACGGTAAGTGGGAGGTTATGTTAACTGGAAGATATTAGTGAAAGAATTATGGAATCTAGAAAATGTTTTTCCCCTGTAGTGTAAAACTGCAAGCAGTTCCATATTCATGGAGTATTTTCAACATGAACATGCCCATCACGGTGAAAAAAAACTCCCTAACAAATAATTTTTTATATACATTCTTCTTTTAGTCTATGGGATTTAAAATTTCTTTTTAAAAATGCTTAACAAAGAATTTCAATTTTTAAAAGAATGATTTGGTTAAAAAAATCAGAGGGACAAAACCAATAACAGAATGGAAAAACTATCTACCTCATCTAGTAATACATATACAATGGTCTCAGAAGAGGAAAGAGCCTCCAAATCATACTGCCTCAGTTCTCATTCATTCATTTACTAAATACCTACTGAAGCATGACTATCTTAAGCAAATCCTTTCATAGGTATAAAGGACTTGCTTTGTCTCAGATAAGACATTGGACTGTAGACTTTTGAGTTAATGCTGAAATGAATTAAGACTCTGGGGGACTGTTGGGAAGACGTGAATGGTTTTAAAATGTGAGGACCTGAGCTTTGGGAGGGGCCAGGGGTGGAATGATATGGTTTGGTTGTGTCCACACCCAAATCTCACCTAGAATTCTAACTCCCACAATTCCCACCTGTCATGAGAGGAATCCAGTGAAAGGTGATTGAATTATGGCGGTGGGTCTTTCCTCCGCTGTTCTCATGACAGTGAATGAGTATTGAGATCTGATGGTTTTAAAAACTGGAGTTTCCCTGACCAAACTCTCTCTCTCTTTGCCTGCCACCAGTCATGTAAGACGTGACTTGCTCCTCCTTGTCTTCCGCCATGATCGTGAGGCCTCCCCAGCCATGTGGAACTTTAAGTCCATTATACCTCTTTTTCTTCCCAGTCTCGAATATGTCTTTATCAGCAGTGTGAAAACAGACTAATTTTATATATATATATATATATATATATATATATATATATATATATATATATATATCTTGATCATTGTGTATATATATATTTATATGTTGTACATATATATTTACATATATATTCATATATGTTGTGCAATAATCAAGTCATGGTAGTTAGCTATCCTCACCTCATGTCTTTATCTTTTTATTTTTGGTGGAAAGAACATTCAAAAGCCTCTCATTTATCTATCTTGTAATGTGCAATATCTTGTTGTTAACTATCTGTCATCCTATTGTGCAATAGGATTCCAGAACTTATTCTTCCTGTTTGATTGTAACTTTGTACCCATTGACCAACCCTTCCCCATCCTCTCCTCTCTCCTCCCTTCCTAGTCTGTGGTAACCACTCTTCTACTCTCTGCTTCTATGATACCCAAACTTTTTAAAATTAAGATTCCACATATAAGTAAGATCATGTGGTATTCTCTTTTTTTTTTCTTTTTTCTTTTGCAGACTGTTGTGGCTGTTCTAGGCAGTTTGTTTTTCCATATTGAAACAAAGAAACTTGCTGAGATTTTTATTGTAATTACTTTGTCTGCATATTGATTTGGAATTAACTTTGGAATAATATTGGATATTACAAGCCATGGGTAAGGTATATTTCTCTATTGGTGTATTGGTATTTCTCTATTTCTTTATTTGTTCAGTCTAGATTTTGTTTGATTTCATTTGTGTAGATTTCATTGATTTTCTCAATTGTTTACCAATTTTCTAGTTAATTAATTGCCACTATTATCTCTATTATCTCCTTTATTCTACCTACTGTTTTATAAAATTTGTTCTTTTTATAGCTTCTTAAAGCAGAAGCTTAGATGATTTATATTAAACCTTTTATATAATTCCTTTTTTTCTAAAATAAGAATTCTACTAAATAGTTTACTAGGCCTACCCTAACAAAATTTCACAAGCAGGTATGTTAAACAACAGAAACTTATTGTGTCACAATTGGTTCTGGAGGCTAGAAGTTTGAGGTCTGGCAGGGTTAGTTTTTTTCTGAGGGCTTTGAGTTAAAGTCTATTCTGTCTCCCTCCTAGCTTCTAGTAGTTTGCTGGGAATCTACGGCATTATTTACTTCATAGCGGTATCACCCTAATGTCTCTTCATGTTCACATGGCATTCTTCCTATGAATGTGCCTGTGTCCAAATTTCCACTTTTTATTATAAGAATACCAGTTATAATAAACAAGAACCCAATCTGTTCCAGTCTATTAACTGGTTACATCTATTAACTGATTACATCTGCAGGGCCCTATTTTCAAATAAGGTCGCACCCTGAGTACTGAGGTTTAGTATGTCAACATGTGAATCTGTTGGGGAAGCAACTCAACTCATAACAAGCATAATGCTACAACTTCTCTTCTAAGCACTGCTATTGCTGCAAATGATTTGGATATGTTGTATACTCATTATTATTCAATTTAAAATATTGTTCTAATTTCCATGGTGATCTTTAAATAAACCCATGGATTTTCAAAGGCTTGAGTTTAATTCTTTAAAGTCACGTTTAAATAAATTTTTAAAGGCTTCAGTTTAAGGAATTCTTTAAACTTGACTTTAAAGAATTAAACTTAAGCCTTCAAAATTCCATGGGTTAATTTAAAAATCACGATGGAAATTAGAACAATATTTTAAATTGGATAATAATATTTATTATTTAAAGTTATATATATTACTCTTATTTCTAATTTATTTATATTATAGAACACATTATTTTTGGTTTATTTTTAATGGCTTTATTGAAGTCCAGTTAACATATGATACAATGCAGATAATAGAAATGTTGAATTTGGTTAAGTTTTAAATATGTGCACAGCTGTAAGTCTTCACTAAAATAAAAACAATGAAAATATGCATCGATTTCAAAGTTAATGTCTCCTGAATCACTAGGCAAATAGTGATATATTTTCTGTAATTTGAGATTACTTTGCATTTTTTAGAATTTCATATCAATGTTATTATACAGAATGCACTACTTTTTGTCTGGCTTCTCTTACTCATTATAGTTATTTTGAGATCATCCATATTGTAGCATGAACAATAGATTCCCTTTATTGCTGAATAGTATTCCAATGTATGGTTATACCGCAATTTATTTATCCATTCACCTGTGGATATATATTTGGGTTGTTTCCAGTATTTGGTTATGACAAATAAAGCTGTTATAAAAATATGTACACAAGTCTTTGAATGGGCATGTGCTTTTATTTTGAATAAAGATCTTGAAGTGGACTGGCTAGAACACATGGTACATGAAATCAATATGCTAGATATATATTTAAGATGATAAGAAAATGCCAAATGGTTTTCTGAAGTGGTTATACAACTTAATTTTCCAACTAGTATGTGCGAATTACTGATGTTCTACATCCTTGTTGACACTTGGTGTGAGGAGTCTTTTCCATTTTAGCCTCAGGATTATGGTTGTGTGGTGGTGTATTAGCTTATGGCTTGAATTTACATTTCCCAGATGATGGTGAGCATCTTTTCTTTTGCTTATTTGCAGCCTCTCTAGACTTTTTGGTGAAGTGCTTATTCACATCTTCTGCCCATTTTGTGAGGGAGGGAGTTTAGCCCCTGCATGAGTCAGCTGGTTTTTTTTTAAAGAACCTTACTTTTTAGAGCAATTTTAGATTCACAGCAAACGTACACAGTTCCCACATATCATCTGCCCTACACATGCACAGCCTCCTCCATTATCAACATCCTCCACCAGAGTGGTACGTTCTTACAATTGATGAGATTACAATTGACACATCATAATTACCAAAGTCCATAGTTGATATTAGGGTTCACTCTTGGAGTTGTACACTATATGGGATTGTACAAACTTATGCTATGTATCCACCATTATAGTATCATACAGAGTAGTTGCCCTACTACAAAAATCCTTTGTGCTCTGCCTATTCATCCTTCCCTTCCCCTAATTCTTAGCAAACACTAATTTTTTTAAAAAAGCTTTTTTAAATGTTTTAATTGAGAAATTTTAATTGTATACATTTATGAGATACAATGTGATTTTTTGATAAATGTATGCAATGTAGAATAATTAAGTCAAGTTAATTAACATATCTACCACCTTGCTTACATATCATTTTCTGATGAGACATTTTGAAATTTACTCTTTGCTATTTTGAAATATATAATACATTGTTATTGACTTTAGCCACCCTGCTATCAATAGATCTCAAAACTTACTTACTCTGTAAATCTGAAACTTTGTACCCTTTGACCAACACCTCCTTATTCCCTCCATTACCCCTGCCATCCTCTGGTAACCATTATTCTGCTCTCTACATCTACTGGTTCAACTTTGTTAGATTCTAAATTTAAGTGAAATCATGAGGTATTTGTCTTTCTGTGCTTGGCTTATTTCATTTACCATACTGTCCAGCAGGTTCATCCATGTTGTTTCAAAGGACAATATTTCATTCTTTCTCCAAGATTGAAAAGATTTCCATTGTGTGTGTATATATACCACATTTTAAAATCATTTCATCTGTTATAAACATTTAGGTTGATTCCACATCTTGGCTCTTGTGAATAATGCTACAATGAACATGGGAGTAAACATAGCCCTTTGACATTATGATTTCAATTCCTTTGGACATACACCCAGAAGTGGAATTCCTGGATGACATGCTAGTTCTCCTTTTAGTTTTTTGAAGAACCTTCATATCGTTTTTCACAATGGCTATAGTACTCATGTTAATTAAATACATGAAGTTAGGCAGTGTCATCCTCCATGTTTATTCTTCTGCTTGAATATTGTGCTGACTATTCTCAATCTTTTGTCTCTCCGTAAAGTTTAGAATTAGTTTGTCAAAACCCACAAATTATAATAACTTGCTGAAATTTTGATTGGGATTTCATTGAAAATATAGATAATGTTGATAAGAACTGATATCTTGACAGTATTGAGCTTTCCTTCCCATGAACATGGGATAGCTTTATGTTAATGTAGTTATTTGATTTCTTTCATCATCAGTGTTTCTTCCTTCTCAATATGTATACCTTTTATTCTGCTTTCTTGTCCTTTTGTATTAGATATGCCTTCTAGAACAATTTTGAAGAGCATTAGTAAGAGGAGACATTTTCCGTATTCTTAATTTTAGTGGGAAAGTGAAATTTCTCATCATTATGTATAATTTTTACTGCAGGTTTTTGTAGCTATTCTTTATCAAGTTGAGGTTTTTATTCCTAGTTTTATTCCTAGTTTATCTTGAGTTCTATTTTTTTTTAAATCATGAGTGGGTGTTGTATGGTCTCAAATGCTTTGACATGATCGTGCAGTTTTTCTTCTGTGAGCTGTTGATGTGATGGATTACATAATTGACTTTCTGGTGTTGAACTAGCCTTGTATAACTGGGATAATTCCCATTTGGTCATCATGTATAATTCTTTGCAAAGATTGTTTGATTTCATTTGCTAATATTTTGTTGAAGGGTTTTGCATCTATGTTTATGAGAGGTATTAGTTTGCAGTTTCATTTTCTTGTAATATCTTTGCTTAGGTTTGAGTAATGCTGGCTGCATATGATGAGGAAGTATTTCTCATAGGACTAAGAATTATCCCCTTTGCTTCAAATCTCTGAGATTGTAGAGAATTAGCACATTTTTTTCCTTAAATATTTGGTAGTATTCAACAGTGAACCCATCTGGGGTTGGTGCTTTCTGTTTCAAAAGGTTATACTATAGACTCTACTTAATATATATAGGGCTATTTGGATTGTCTGTTTCTTCTTGTGAGAGTTTTGGCAGTTGGTGTCTTTCAAGGAATTGTTCTACTTTATCAAAATTATGAACTTTGTGAGCATAGGGTTGTCATTTTGCCTATTTGTATTGAATTATTTGAGTTTTATGTATTCTAGATACACATTGTATATCAGATACTTTTGAATATGTTCTATGTCTTGCTTATTAGCAGTGTCTTTGAAGAATAGCAGTTTCTAATTTTAATTAACCATAATTTATCTATTGTTTTTGTCTTACTGATAATGATTTTGCTGTTATAGTTAAGAAATCTTTGTTTAACCCAAGGTCACAAAGATTCCTCCTATATTTTATTCTAGAATTTTAATAATTTTAAGTTTTACATTTAGATCTAGGATCCATTTTAAATTACTTTTTCTATATGCTGTGAGAAATTAAAGTTAATATGTATATATCCAATTTTTTCTCACTTATTTTAAATACACTTATCTTCCTATATTGCAACAAATCTTTTAAAAGCTGCCTTACTTCTATTTTTGGATTTTTAAACAAGGATGTTAAGATCAGATAGGCAGATAATTTACTTGAAGACAAACTGAATCTTTCTGAGGCTATTTTTTTTACCTGTGATAGAATAGATCTACGGTCAGATTTGCCATAAGTCTAAATTAGACATTCTTCCAACGGTGCTTTTTGTGGTTTTTACTAAATGCTTGGATTGTTCAATAAAGCCTCTTCTGACTGTTTAGGACACAAACATCTGCCTGATCTGTGCAAACTTTTGTAGAATCTTATATTGTCTTTTGTGTTCTTTTTCAGGTAGTTGTTTTTTGCTTATTCTTAAGTCTTTCTTTTAGGATGTATATTTTAGTGTTTGACTAAAAACTCAAGGAGACATCCTGTGAAGATTCCCGCAACTCATTTTCTACACAGCTCTCTTCTCTCTGGTACTCTGCCCCATAAATTCTAGGCCCTCCAAGATCCGAAAACTCTCATTTCTGTTGTATGAGGTCAATGAGACCACTACATTATATTTAAACTATCCTTCCATAGATATTAGTGTGGAAAGTGGTTCCAGACAAAAAGCAGGAGCGATCATGGAACTTACTTTGATTTTCTTTTCCCCCCACTTCTTTCTAAGATTACCATTCTGCACTCTATGCTGTAAAACATCTGAAAATATTTACTTTATATACTTGGTCCGTTAGTATAATTGTTTATAGTCGGAGGAACAGTTACTTCATCATGGCTAATAGTAGAAGTGCAAAAGGAAGTTTTAAAGCAATCAAATTGTTCACAATTTATATCTTGAACCACTTTCCCTGACTTATCTTGCACTTCCAGCCCCTTTAATTTCTTATTTTTTTACCCTTCCTATTGCTTCTTTTAACCTACGTTATCAATTTTATAAAATTGACTTTTATTCCCCATTTCTTCTAAATCAAGATTCGCTCTTTGGCTATGTTGCCAACAGCTACCCTAAAGAAATACTTTGTTTGCTTGAGCAATTTCTGCAGATTCACATAGGTGACACCCTGTTCTGGTTTGAGCCTAGATAATAACAGTTGAACACAGTAATTTTAGAAAGAATTGTCTAGTTAGTTATTGTCTTTCAAAGATATTTGTCTTTGTAGCCTTTCTTTTTTAGTTAAAGCTTTGTCATGGTAAGATATAATAAGCAATACAATTTGGCAATAAACATAAGAACTAACTAATAATTAAACTCACTTATATGGTTTGTGAGGAAAGAGAAAAAAGAAGGAAGAGGTCAACTGGAATTAGTCCTAGGTTGGTCTTGGCAGTGATTGTTTGGATTTGAAAACTACAGAGTTGCTAGAACAATCAATGGTCTTTAAAATGTGTGGATGTACACGGAATTAATGTTAGATCAGTTTTTCTGTGTTACTATCTGGGAACATATGGGTTTAATTAGACTAGTATTAAAAGAGTTTGCACTTAGCCTATAATGACCATTGTGATGTAGTCTGGTATAGTTTATCTACTTTGAGAATCAGGGTACACTTTTTAAGCTTACTTCTCCATTCCCCACAGCCCAGATGCTGGCTTGGTCTGTTCCATTTTATCCACATGCAAGAATTACACAACTGTATTCTAGGTATTGCATAATGGAATTTAATTCCAAAGCTCAGAAAGAAATGAAGTATAACCAAATTCAAAATCTTAGGAAAATGTCTTCATGATTAATAATATTAATTTTCTGAAAGCAATTCAAAGGTTTATTTCCAGCACCAGACGTTTATTGAATGGATGAATGAATGCAATTTTAAAAAGGTTATGAGACAAGAGACAGGAATTGATAATGTGCATAATCTTTTTTCCTTGTAGATATAATTAACAGAAACATATTACATACCCCTGAAATCGACCATGCAAGAAACAATATAAAATTAAGACACCTCGGATTGCTGCTCATGTGAGTGGGTTGAAGGTGCATTGAAAATGACTTACCTCTTTGTTACAAATCTGATGGAGTAGTGGACAAAGCAGGAGATGCGGAGTTATGTAGTTCTTGGTCATTACTCTGGTAGTTCTATTATTAGTTGTGAGACTTTGGGGAAGTAATGATCTTTCATAGTCTCAGTTCCTTCATCTGAAAAATGGGAAAATTATTGTGAAAGAATAAATATTAAATGATTAACTGTACACCCTAGGAATATTGTAGCTACCTATAAAATATTCAGCTTCTCCTTCCCTTTCTAATAATTGAAATAATATATTAAAATAATATTCTTGTGAATAAAGATTATCTATTAGTTCCTCTGCTTAAATGCAGATATTGGTACAAAAAGCTAAACTCTCGAGAACAAATAGAAAAGAGAGAAAGAGGAAGCAAAGGAAGAAGAAGAAAGCTGTGTGGATAGGTAAAGCTTCATCCTACATTCTAGCCACATATCATGCCCAAATTTCAATCTATGTGGAAATACAAACTATTGGAGAGGTAAAGTAGGTTAGATTGTCCTTTTTGAGTGTGTGATATTCATTCAGTCAACTTATTCAACTATTATTTGCCAATCATCTACAAAGTACCAGGCACTGTACAAAAGATTAATGATACACAAAGAAATTGGAAATTAATCCTCTCTGTCCTCACAAAGGTTATAATCTGGCAAGACAGATGCATCTGATTCCTGAAGATGCAGGTTAAAAAGGAGAGGAGCGCTGGCCATGGAGACGTATAACCAGAACCCCCAACTTAATTGGAAGAGACATTGGGGAAACCTATGTGGAAGGGGTATTTGAGACCTAAGCATGAGTAGAATTTTCTAGGTCATAGGGTGGACTGAGAGGCAGCATTGGGATAGTGTGCTAAGAGGAGTAATCATCTCTGCAAAGCCAATGGGAAAGGAGGAAGGTTAGTTTACACAGGGACGGGAGCAAAGCTGGCATAAACAAGACTGAGTCTGCAAAGGAAGCTTAAGGTGAGGCTGGAGGAAGTTCAGGGCTAAATTATATAGAGTCTTATCTGTTAGGTTAAATATTTTGGACTTTAGGATCATTATGAAGCCACTGAAAGATCTGAATCAGAGGAAGGCAACTGATTTCTGTTATAAGACAATCTTTTTCACTATAGTGGGAGCAATGGGTTTAAAGAGGGAAAGAGTGCTTAAGCAGAAATGAAGTAGAAAACTGGTCGATTCTTGCAAGGTAAAGAGGAAAGGTGGTCTGCATTCAGGTGGAGGCAGTGGAGATTAATATACACGGATATGTTAGGGAGATAGTAAGAAGTTAGCATCAACCACATTTTACCCTGCAGGCTAACCCTGCTTCAAAAGCCTTCCAAACCTCCTCTGCCCACTTTCTTACCTAGAGAAGCTTTATGCATCCTTTAAATTTAAACTCAAGTTCTAACAATATTATTTATCTTCAACAGGAAACGTTAGTAGCTTACTATTAGAGCACCTGGCAAATGTATCCTTTAAGGTAGTGGTTTCCAGCCCTTGGCTACGCATTAAAATCTTCTGGGGAACTTTAAAACACTTCCAATGTTTGTCTTCCACCCCAGACAGACTCTGAGGAGTAGGAACAGAGCAAGAATATTATTTAGAAGCTCCATAGGTGGTTGTAACTTATTCAGGAATGGGAACCAGCACTAAAAGCATTTGCCATACTAGCATTTTTAGTTGTCCTCTCCACTATACTGTAAGCTCATTGTGGGCAGGACTGTTGACTCCTTTTACATCTTGAGGGCTTACAACCACAGTGATACATATTTATATGCTGCTATGAATTTAAATAAATAAAACATGCTAATTGATTACTTTTAGCTAGCTGGGGCTTTGCTGCCCGTGAAGAGGAGTGGGAATAACTCAGGAAGACTATGAGGAGTCGGCACTAATAACTTGCTTCACAAAGATAAAAACAGACATTTACAATTATATTAGAAATAATAGCGTAAGAAGAGTGTAACGGTTGCCAAAATGTAAATGTTGTTCATGGCAATATGTTCTGATTTGGGTTCTGCCAAAATGGTCAAAACTCAGCCCTTATTTTAGGAGTTCCTGCCCATGGGGACTATAGAAAAAGAAAAACTTTGTAAACAATGTTTATATTCCAATAAATGCACATTGTTCTAAAGTACACCAACTAATTGGCTACTTTGACCTTAAAGTCCAATCTATTCCCGGGCATAGAGGTAGTCCCTAGACTAATGGGAGTAGAAAATGTACAGACTAATTTCCTTTTCCTATTCCCACTTCATCTAGTTTTAGGGGACAAGCAGAGCTTGATTTCTCTGCAAACCTTGTTATATTACTGATTTTGGAGTGACATTGCAGCTTGCCTATTACCACAATTCATGGGAATGGTTTCTGCTGGCTTGTAATATAGCACCTGTTCAGTTTTTAAAGAAGCCATTTGATTCCATCATAAAGTGACCATCCAATTCAACATGAAGCAGAATCAGCTTAAATGAAGGCCAGGACAAGGCCTGGAGGGACCCTTTCGATCCTGACTATAAAACTCTAGCCCCATAGGGAAGTGTCTGAACATCTGCACAGATTGGTACTGAATTCAATCAGCATTGTCATTTTTGTTCTCATGTTAACACAATGTATGCTATCAGAAAAGGATATACCTATTATGGAAGAAATAAAAGGGCCAAATCAGGGACCTTAGCTATACCAGCCTTGCTGTCTGGGAGGGCAGATCTGGGCAGGGACTCGTAAAATGAGGGCTGAGTTTTGACCAAGGCAAAGCTATACTGTACCCAATGGAAGATGAAGCCTCTGGCCTAGGAGTTAGGGAGAACTAAAAGGTGAAGATGAAATGGGTTAGAGAGGGATGGGGGAAAATTATAGAGCTGGGACCAAATCCAAAGCACAGAATCTGAGACAGAGGACGGGCAAGGGGCTGAGAGGGGAGTCTGAAGGTAGAGTCTTGAGAGATATCCTAAGGTAAAGATCCTTAGGGTGTGGAAACCTCTAGCAGGTTCTTACCCCCGCAACTGCAAATGAGAATAGTATTTTCCATAGTTCTAAAATAATTTCACGAACCTTCCGGGTCTAAAATCTCAATTGTCTCACCCGCTTAACATTGCCTTTTGGAAACTTAGGTCCAAATTTGTCTGGCCTACCTCGGTGGGACTTCATGGCATGATATTTGGGCACTAATCTCACTCTTGGTTTCTATGGTAGTTATCTATCATCATGTAACAAATTACCACATTTAGTGGCTTAGACAGACACACATTTATTATTTCATAGTTTCTGTGGGTCATAAGTCTAGACATGGCTTACCTGTTTCTACTGCTCAGGGTCTCACTAGCTGTAACGAAGCTGGCAGCCAGGCTGCATTCTCATCTGGAGGCTTTCCTGAGGACGAATCCACTTCCAAGCTCATTCAGGTTGTCCACAGGATTTATTCCCCGTGGTTGTAGGACTGAGGTCCTCAACTTCTATAGGCCACCTGGAGTTCCTTTGGCACATGGTTCTCTTCGTAGACAGTTTACACAACATGGTTGTTTGCTATTTCAGCCAGTAGGAGAATCTTTGCTGCATCTGATCTTTCTCTTTTCTTCTAAGGAATCACCTGATTAGGTCAGGCTTGTCCAATATAATCTTCCCAAGTTAAATCAGCTGGTTAGGAGCTTTGATTATGCCAGAAAAAAGTCCCTTCAGAGCAGCGCCTTCAGCGTTAGTCTGCCACATATGGGAGAAGGTATGTACTCCAGGGGCTGACAATCTTGGAGCCACTGTGGAATTCTTCCTACTGTATTTCCATTTTACATTCTTAAAATTCTTAATTGACCTTTGCTTCATTTTCTTACTTAATTTTTTTTATTTTTTTTTTAGGGTAGATTCTAGTAATCTTAAAGTTTTGAAATTGTTGCCCTTAGCAAAGCTATATATAAATTTTGATAATGATTTATATTAATTAAAAATTTTAAAGATGTTTACTCCAAGTTTTGTAGCTTACTTCCTGTTCCCAGAGTATTTTAAGTTACCCTGACACATTAATCTTTTTTTTATTATACTTTAAGTTTTAGGGTACATGTGCACAACGTGCAGGTTTGTTACGTACTTATTTTAAATATATTTATCTTATTACCTTGCATGCATCTTTTAAAACTGCCTCAATTCTATTTAGGAACAGGAAAGATTATAAATGAACATATTGTAGTAATGTATTCTTTGTAGAAACATAAACTGAATTTCAAACTTGGGAAGATCTGAATCTATACAGATTCAAAAAGGTCAAAAGGAAAAATATGAAAACTTTGATGTCAAGGAGCTTAAAATTTCACAGATAGAAGAAATGTGTGCACAGTTACATGAAAATATGACAGCACAAAAAGAGATGTATATGCCGAGTTTTGGAGAGGATCCTTTCTTTTTGAAGGAATTACAAAAGCTTTCGTTTAAAAGGTGAAATTCAAGCTGGACCAGAATGGGTGGGTAGAATGTGTATATATGTAGGAAAAGATATGGGAGGAACACTGTCCTAGAACAAAGGAAACACCCCGGTAAATTCACATTGAAGAGAAAGTCTCCAAAGTGTAAGGCAAAAGTTTTATTTCAACTTGGGTCTCTAGCAGGCCTGTGTACAAGAAATGGAAAAAAGATAGATCCAGATTAGGATTGACATAAATTGGTAGTATAAGGAGTTCTCTTATTAACTTTTCAATAATTTGAGTCATGGAAAATTTCTGGAAATGGACAGGATAAGTGTAGGTGGTGGGTAGTATGTATACTGGAAGTGAGAGAGCCTGGAGACATGAAGGCTAACTAATGGGCATCAGCAGCAATCAATCACCAGGTGTTCTGGTTACTATTGTTGCATAACATATTATCCCAAAATGTAGTGACTCAAAACAAAAATCATTTTATTATCTTTCATAGTTTATGCGAATCGGGAATTTGGAAAGGCTTGCTTGGGTGGTTCTAGCTGGGATCTACTCGGATTGCTGCCAGGAGGTAGTGGGAGCTGAACTGTGGGGAGCAGGACCAGCTGGACCTCTCTCTCTCCCTCTCTCTCTCACTCCCTTTCTCCTTATGGCCTTAGGGATTCAGCACGTAGTCTATCTGTACAGGGTAGATTGGGCAACTTCATAGAATGACAGCTTCAGAGCAGTTGAATGTTTATATCATGGCTCAGGGCTCCAGAAAAAGGGTTTTAGTGAGTAAAATGGAATCTGTGTCAACCTTTCTAATCTAGCTTAAGATATTGTCTAGTGTAACTTTTGCTGCATTCTGTTGATTACAAGTGAATCCCAAACATTTCCTGATTCAAAGGGAGGGAAATTAGACTCTAGGAGTGTGACAAAATTATGAAAGAACATAGAGAATGAAAGATTACATCACTGCCATCTTCAGACAATGCAATCTGCTACAAGAGGGAAGTCTGCTTTGACGGTGAAATGTAAAATCCGTATCAAAGAATACATGCATATTTTACTAACAAAAAATAGAAAAGTCATGATAAGATCCATTTTTAAGGAGCTCAATATCTTCATGAACATCACATTTATGGTTGTTTGCTTGCTTACATTCCCAAGCCTTCCAGTACAATGAGGCATACACAGGTTTCTATGGCTAGGACTTGAAACAATATTAACTGAATACATTTAAATATGAATTAATATATTCTCTTAAAGATAGACTATCTAGATGCAAATATCTAGAAAAAGGTATAACAACAAGATTCTAAAATTTAGGAGAGACACCAGGATTAGAGATTTAGCTTTGGGAATCATTCTCACAGAGTGTCTTTGACCTTGCACAAGATGGCCAGTTCTCTTGTATGGGGAATGTTTAAATCAAGTTATCTGCATGAATGTGATTCAATTGATAGTCATTTTTTGTCTAGTCATTTTTTGTCTAGTTATGAGGATTATCTCTGCTCCAGTTAACTTATATATATATTTTTTCTATCAAAAGTCACAGTGATTCTCTAAGAGGCTATGTTAATGTCTAGTGAGAAGCCTAACTCAGGCTCAAGCCCAGCTCCTCTTCATTCAGTCACCCTTTGAGGACAAAGAGGTAGCCATTTCATTGCTGCTGCCATACAAAGTAGGTTTTGGAAAAGAGCAAGCTTTATCCCCTACCCTGGCCCTGATAGATATTGTCTATGTGACCTTGGCCTGGTTATTTAATCTTTATGAAGCTGTGTTCTCACCTGTAAAATTGAGAAAATAATACCTGGAAGAAATTATATGAGATTGTGAATATTAAATGTAGCACTGTACTTGGTACATAGAATTTAATCAATAAATAAGAGTGCAATTTTCTGGCACAGTCAGACTGTTAGGATGAAAGGGGAAAAACCACAAAATGGTTGATCTGAATATTTGGGCCATTGCAGCAGTGATATCTTGACAACTATGAGTTAATTCCTGAATTATGAAGCCTTGCCAAAAATACAAAGACATTTTCCAGATTTTACATTGAAATATTAGATTTCATGCCTGTGAGTAGCTACTACCCAAGTAAAATATTAAGTGACTTTAAGAAAATGGGGTGAGCATTTTGCTTTACTGAAGTTAATGCAGATCTGTAAAATAATTGATATAATCATTGATTATATAATTATTTTGATCCCTCAAAATTAAGGTAGAAATTTTTTAAGGGCTTTCTTTGGGTTTTAGCTCATCTTTAGTTCCTCATGATAAAGATTATATGTACAGACTATTACATCATGTTCTCTTGTAATCTGATGCTGAGAGGGACTTAGGAAGCTTTTTGCATCCACTTAAAAATAAAATGCTACTGTTTTCTTGCTATGTCTTGAGTCCCTTGATTAATATGAAGTGCTTTCACTGGTATAAATTCATTTCCCAGGCAGCTTTCATAAAACATCAATTTGTAGAAGATTCACATTAAAAAAAAACAGTTAAATAGTGCATTCTGCTCCTAAGCAAACTCAGAATATTAATTTGAAGTCGTAGGCCTTAGTTTACTCATTTCAAAAAGTTCTTGAAGTATTTGATCTTTAAGAAGTTATGCTTTCTATTGTTCTAAGACTCTAATTTACTAGGAAACAAAGTTATAAGCAATAACATTTTCTTCCACTAAATAGACGCATAAATAAATTGAGGAGTGACATATTGCCTTCTAATTATGCCTGAATAATGCCTCAAATAGTATTACCCTGAGGCATATTTCTTCTGGTTTGCTTGGCCGGGCACTGCTTTATTCTTTTTCTGTTTCTCCTGTTCCTACATTTCCCAGCTCCTTGAAGCTAGATTCACTGCAAGTTTCATTGATCACTCAGACCAAGCTTATTTACAGCCAGATCTAGAAGCAACCTGCTCCCATCCTACCTTTGTCTTATTGAGGCATGGAATGAAATATTTAGCATGAAAAATAAATACAAAATTACAAGCTTACAAAGCTGATAAAAGCCACAAACCACACAATTCAAGTCTAATGAAATTATTGTTATACTAGTTAACTACCTGACAGGAAATTTTGACAACAAATTTTTTTTGTACATTATTTGGCTCTATATTTTTTGAATAACTATTCACAATAATATTGTGATACCATTTCTGTAGATAATAGAGAATTCAGTCTTTCCATAATTGAGTGAAATCTGTGTTTATTATTAATCATTTGGAAACATTTATTTCTTCATGGCTTATTAGTAATATACATATTTAGGATTATTGTCAAGTTTTAAAAACATTTATTCAGATATAGTCTCTGGCCATTTATCTTTGTGTCAGAATTTCAAATACACTGGCCTGCAATGATAAGAATATTTCAAGAAGCCAAACCTACATCCGGCTATGAACCACTTCAGGGTAGAGACTGAAAACTGCATACTCCTCTCACTAAATCCTAATTAAATGTATACCTAACTTAACTTCCTTTTGGCAGGGTTACAAAATTACTCACAGTTACTCCAAAGCCATTGGATATGAGTGACTTATAAAGAGGAAGGGGCATTACAAAGAGATAGTGGTCCCATCTGCAGAAACATCTTACTCTGGCAAATTTCACTAAACAACATGACAATGTGAACACCTTGCTTGGGCTCTCCAAGGGCATTGAAAGAAAAATCATGAAAGTGAGGGTTCCTGAAGCAAAAGCTCAGTTAGTGTCATGGTAAAATTACCTCTGTTCCACCTTTTAGCTTTGACCAGGTAACTACTGATCCCTAAAAAAGTCCCCTGCTAGGACAGGAACTATTCCCAGAGGCTCAGAACAGAGCCTGGGGCCTGGGTACTGATTTTGTTTTTGTCATTCCTACTGCTTAGCCTAATTAGTCCCATATCTCAGCCAGCTGCTTTGGGGTCTCACCTCATAAACACAGATTCCCAAAACTGCACAATGAAATAACAGTCAAATTGACACATAGCAGCAGCTCCCTAGATGTCTACTTTCCTCCTTCTTGTTACGTTGTGCTTAATTTGTAAATCCTACTTGTGTCTGTATAATCATTTGGTTTGCTATATGGAGGCTATGCCAGCTTCCCAGGTGGGTTCTGGTCCCATGTTGTCAACACACTTTAAGTTGGAAACTAATAGTTGGAAAACTTCTGGATTAAAATTAATTTTAGTATTTCCAAAGCTAAATGACTTGTAATTCTCTCCACACATGATCAAAGGACATAATATTAGAAGTATATATATTAGGTTGGTGCAAAAGTAATTGTGGTTTTGCAATTATTTTTGGACCGACTTAATATCTACATTAGTCAGTAGGCAATCACACAGGAGACTGTAGCCAGCATCCTACTTCCTGTAACGATGCTCCTGGCAGACAGCATTAATCAACCATAGCTCTTCTCCCAAGTGATCCTAAATGCAGGTTTAAAAGTGTGGCTTTCTTCAATTATATGCTTACTAATACCTTGAGGATAATAGTTTATATTCTAGGGAAGTTCGGAACAGTTTAAATTTTATCTTAATAATTTGATTTTATAGTATGCATCTTCATCAGTATTATATAAATACTGTTCAGTATTATATAAATACGTGTTCAATGAGGAAACTGATGTTTTCAGAAGCTACAATAGTAAAAGACATATATGTACTCGTTCTCTATAAACAGCATTTCTTATCTGACATATAAACCAGGATTCTAAGCCAGGTCTTACTCCAGACTCAGGATATATCTGAGGCATTTCTTCTCTCAGTGCACATCTTCTTCCCTTCTCCTCTTCCCAGATTGCTTTGGAAAAATCACTCAATATCTCTATCTTTCCACATCTGTCTGTCTGTCCTATCTATCTATCTATCTATCTATCTATCTATCTATCTATCTATGTATTTATGTATGTAGCTATCTATGTATCTATCTGTCCTTACCTAATCAATCTATCTATCTATCTATCTATCTATCTATCTATCTATCTATCTATCTATCTAGGTACCTATCTATCTATTGATTCTCATTATCATTATTTGTGGTAGTTATATCCTATAAACTCACTGCAAACATTGAATTAGTGAATACTAAACTATTGATCCTAGGGGAAATACAACATTAGGGTCCTGCAAGCCTCTAGTCATAACATGTTCATCAAATAATAAATATATAATTTTATGTGTGTTTATGTTTAAAGGTACTTTACCGTGTGTGTGTGTGTATATATATATATACATATACATATATTATTGATGTATTAATATTGAACTCATGGCCAACAGTGCTAGAACTCATTCCTGAATGAAGTTTATCTCACACATGTATTTTATTTTATTTTATTTATCTTTTCTTGAGACAGAGTCTTGCTCTGTCGCCCAGGCGGGAGTGTAGTGGCAGGCGCAGCTCACTGCAACTTCTGCCTCTTGGATTCAAGCAATTCTGCTGCCTCAGCCTCCCAAGTAGCTGGGCAACAGACATGTGCCATCACTCCCGGCTAATTTTTTTGTGTTTTTAGTAGAGACAGAGTTTCACCATGTTGGCCAGGCTGGTCTCGAACTCCTGACCCCAGGTGATCTGCCTGCCTTGGCTTCCCAAAGTGCTGGGATTACAGGTGTGAGCCACTGAGCCTGGCCTCACATATGTTTTGTTGTTGTTGTTGTTGTTGAGACAGAGTCTCGCTCTGTCACCCAGGCTGGAGTGCACTGGTGCAATCTTGACTCACTGCAACCTTTACCTCCTGGGTTCAAGTGATTCTCATGCCTAGCCTACCAAGTAGCTGAGATTACAGGCACCCGCCATCATGCCCGGCTAATTTTTGTGTTTTTAGTAGAGATTGGGTTTCATCATGTTGGCCAGGCTGGTCTTGAGCTCCTGACCTCAGGTGATCCACCCACCTCAGCCTCCTAAGGTACTGGGATTACAGGCATGAGCTACCTTTCCTGGCCATAAGTATTTCTTAGTTCAGAACAGTTTCCACAAATTTCTCTCTTTTCTAAATTTCTAAAATGTTACTGTCTTATTCATCTAGTTATTAACATACTTGATTAGTAATTTCTCCTTTCATGTTCATTTTTCTCAGCTTAATCATCGCCATCCCCATCATCTGCACCATCATTGCCATTAACATATACTAAGACTTTTCTGTGTTTTACATGCATTACACCACTGAATTTTTACAACACTGTTTTTTGAAGTAGGTTGAAGTGATATTTAAAATATTTAACAACTTATCCATCATGAACATTGACCTTGATGAATAGATGCTGGCAATAAACAACCGTTATAATGATAATGATGGGCACTAGTGGAATATCTGCCAGAAGGTCATTACAATTATCATTTTAATTTTGTAGATCTGTTCCTGGAAAAAAAATCCAGAGTGATTAGTCTGAATCTGACAGAAGAATGTGAAAATAGACACATAAATGAGTAAAGCGCAGTTCTCACTCTCATGGAGAATATACACTAGTTGAGAGGACGTAAATAAAAACTAGGTCCCTTATTTTTTCTTATTTCCGGAACTTGGTATAATGATGTCTGAATATTAAATAATGAGAAATCTTTTTGATTATAGTAATGATAATGACAGCATTGTTAGGCATTAGGCAGGTCAAAAAGCAGCCAGTTTCCATCTTAATAAGTGTTTTAAAAATGCACGTCTGACCCTGATACCTGCTGTACATCTATAAAAATAAAAAAAGAGAGAACAGTAAAGAGAAAGATCCGATGAATGGTGCAATTTGTTTTTTGTTTAGGTGGCTCCAATCTCTGATAAAGTAGCAAAAAGTGGAAATTGTATTAGAAAGAGCATGAAACCTTATTTTTCCAAATGGATTCTATTTACCATCCACATTATTAGATAGAACTACCTGCTGGGAAATAGTATTACTTCTTCAGCCTCCATTCACATTTGTTAAAATAATGATGCCATCTCAAATATTTATGTAAACCTGCTAGCTCGTTTTTGAAATATTGACATAAATATTCATTAAATATTATTAGTAGGGATCTTTATTCTGATCCAAACAGAAGTGCTTGAAGTATTAATTAGGTGTTCAAAACCTAGTTAAACTAAATTAAAAATCCATTCCAAATTAAAACCTAGAGGTACTAAAAATATTGTGGAAGCAAACATGGTTGTGGAAATAGGACAGTGAGCTGCTTTCCAGGGCAGGGGCTTCAATGGAACAGATACATTGTAGGGGGCGCATCTTCATTTATTTCTACGTTGAATCGAGCTTCTTCCATCACAGAAACCTTATTATGCTAGGCTTGATGCTAGGCACTTCTAATCCTATATCTCATGTTCTATTTGTTTCCCTGCTCCTCCCTGAAATGTCCACTGTTCAGGACGGTGGTGACTGCAGATCTGGTATGTTAGTCTCAACTTATGAATGTGGTTGTAACATCACAGAGCATGCTATATTTTAGAAAGATTTTCTGCTCTTCTTCCTATTTGGAGAAGAAAGGGTCTATCTCAGCCCTGAGTGGCAGAGATCCTAGTATTTGGAATGAGAAGATATTAATTCAAGTCCGGACTTTGCAATTTATTAGCTCTCGAACAAAGTATTCATTTGAACTTTAGTTTATTTAACTGCTAAGTTGAGAAAGCAGTCCAATTTGTTTAGTGACATTTCAGAGGCGTTATGATGATGGAATGACATGTAATGTAATGCATGAAAGGTGGATAAATTTATATCATTATGTAAATTGCATTATTATGTTGTTAAGTACAATGATTACATGTTATTCAATCACCTATAAACTCATTTAATTTTTATATATCTCTGAAGTAGGCATTATCACTCTTGTTCTGGAGATAATGGAAAGTGAAACTCAGATGAATCAATACAATTGTTCAAAGGTAGCAATAGAGCTATGGCTTGATATCAGATTTTTTAAATTATACTTTAAATTCTGGGGTACATGTGCAGAACGTGCAGGTTTGTTACATAGGTATACACATGCGATGGTGGTTTGCTGCACCTATCAACCCGTCATCTACATTAGGTATTTCTCCTAATGCCATCCCTCCCCTAGTCCCCCACCCACTGACAGACTCCGGTGTGTGATGTTCCCCTCCTTGTGTCCAGGTGTTCTCATTGTTCAACTCCCACTTATGAGTGAGAACATGCAGTGTTTGGTTTTCTGTTCCTGTGTTCCTTTGCTGAGACTGATGGATTCCAGCTTCATCCATGTCCCTGCAAAGGGCATGAACTCATCCTTTTTTATGGCTGCTTAGCATTCCGTAGTGTATATGTGCCACATTTTCTTAATCCAGTCTATCATTGATGGGCATTTGGGTTGGTTCCAAGATTTTGCTATTGTGAACGGTGCTGCAATAAACATACGTGTACATGTGACTTTATAGTAGAATGATTTATAATCTTTTGGGCATGTACCTAGTAAAGGGATTGCTGGGTCAAATGGTATTTCTGGTTCTAGATCCTTGAGGAATCACCACACTGCCTTCCACAGTGAACGAATTTTTAATACCCAAATCAGTTCCACTGCACTACAGATGTGTGCTAGGCAAGGCACACTTGACCAAGGCATTTATAATCAAGTTAAGGGGCAGAAAGGCTGGTAGGTGGCGGGAGGCAGAGGCTATGCCAGTGAGACTTAAAGCCTTAGCATCAGCTTTGCTTTAATGTAAGTTAATTTATAAAAATCATACAATATGAAAAAATGTCATCTAAAGTTTGATAATATATTTGGTCTCAGAAGACTTTAGAAGAGGATACATGAGGGTATTTAAGAGGCTACTTTTCTGTTTTTCCTTTTTTCCCTTTCCTCCCTTCTTTTTATTGATGCATAATAGATATCCAGAGTTTTGGGACACATGCCATAATTTAATATATTCATATGATTTGTAAAGATCAGATCAGTGTACTTGGGAGCCTGTATAACCATCGCTGCTATGTTATACTCCTTTGTACATATCACACCACCATGGGGCTATGGCACTCAAATTTATTTCACTGTTGTGTACTAGTCCATCTATTCTCCTCTGAGGAAGGAAGATTCTTTCCTCCAAGTAGATCCTAGGTATTTTTTCCCAGATCTGAATACGGATGGTGAGTACAACATGAAAGGGTAGTTGTATTAGTCTTCTATTGTTGCTCTAACAAATTATCACATTCTTAGTGGCTTATAGCAATGCAGACTTATTTACTTTTTTAAAATTTAATTACAGTTCTGAAGGTTAGAAGTTTAAAATTATTCTCACTAGTCTAAAGATGTGGTGTTAGCAGGGCTGATTCCCCTTGGAGGTCCTAGGAAAGAATCCATTGCCTTGTCATTTCCACCTTCTAGAGACCAGCGACATCCCTTGGCTCACAGTCCCTTCCTTCATCTTCAAAGCCAGCAACATAGCAGCTTCACATCTCTTTCCTTCTTTCCCATTACTTCGACTTTCATTTTGCCTTCCCTGCCTTTGACTTTGTCTCCTTTTTATAAAAATCCCTTGTGATTATATCATTAGGCCAACGTAGAAAATCCAGACTAACCTCCCTTCCCCATCTCAAAATACTTAATCACAGCTACAAAGTTTCTTTTGCCATATAAGGTATCATTTTTGTAGGTCCTGATCATTAGGATTTAATATTTTTGGGGGACCTGGCATTATTCATCCCACTATAATACAGTCATGTGTTGCATAAAGACATTTCATTGCTGACAAACTGCATATTTGACAGTAGTCCCATACGAGCATATTACTATAGTTTACCTTTTCTATGTTAGATACATGAATACTTACCATTATGTTACAATTACCTACAGTATTCAGTACAGTAACATGCTGTCTATGTTGGTTGCCTAGGAGCAATAGGTTATACCATGTAGCCTAGGTATGTAGTAGGCAACACCATCTAGGTTTGTGTAAGTACACTTTATGATGTTAACACAATGATTTAATTATCTAATAATGCATTTACCAGAATGTAGCCCCATCATTAAGTGACACATGACTGTAGTTGATATTTTTATTTTGAAATTATTTTCTATTTGTTAGTAGAATTTATGTTCCAACCAGATAACAATGTAAAATATCATGAGTTAATTATATTCCTTTTATTACTACCAGTGAAAAGAAGACACAGGGTTAGGTCTTTTTAAAGGTAAAAGGCAAGCCTCTGTTCTGTGGGTTCACAGTTTGAAAAAAATCTATTTTTGCTATTTGAGATACCATGTAGACAGTGATGGGTTCAATATAGTCATAACAGTCATGATGAGTTGTGTTCTATTAATGAGTTTTGAGCTTATTAAATTTATCTTTTCTAAATATGCTATGAAATTAGAGTTTTCATTTTTCACCATAGACTCCAAGTATCATGGATGATATAAAATTAACCACTCTAATGAATAAACAGCATGTTTTTTTAACAAAATTATGATCAAAATACACTAGACTTTTTAAGCCTCCCTCAGAAGAGTGAAGGATTAAAGACAAGTTCAGAATTGTTAATCTATTTGTGTTTTAATAAGAGAAAGAGACAATAGAACTTAACATAATAGTGATAATCACTTTATAACTGTGCAATGCTTTATATTTTTAAATAATTAATTGTCCTTTATTTTATTTAATCCTCAGGTATAGCACATATTTTCAATTATGGTAAGGTTGTTTTGAGTAAGAAAAAAATAAGCATAATCTAATTTTCAAGGTGCGTTGGGAACACATTTTTCCACTAGAATTTGTAATACTACAGGGTAATATTTTTAAGCCTTAATTTTCTAGCTTGTCCTTTTATTTCTGACAGTGAAAAACTTAATGTATCTTCTAAAATAGCAGCACTCATTCTTCCCTTCCCTCTGGACTTTGGGTGGAGAGAATGACAGTGCAGGAATTCACATGGAATTCTGCTGACCTAGAGAAAAGGTGCTCCTTTATCAAAAAAAGACATTCCTTTCCTGGAATTTTTCTAACTCACAGTCTGAGATGCCCACATTTCCTAACTCATGTCATTTCCCCTTAGGTCTTCAACCGTGATTTCTGTGTGCAGTTATCCTTCATGAACATTGGGCTGTTTTATCTATATTACTCCTTTCCTAAATTTATCATCTTCAACTGCAAACAAGCTCTTACCATTGGCAAAAAAATTGCTTATGTTGGGAGGCTGAGGCAAGCAGATCACCTGAGATCAGGAGTTCGGGACCATACTGGGTAACATGGTGAAACCCCGTCTCTACTAAAAATACAAAAATTAGCCAGGCATGGTGGCAAGTGCCCGTAATCCCAGCTACTCGGGAGGCTGAGGCAGGAGAATCACTTAAACCTGGGAGGGGGAGGCTGCAGTGAGCCGAGATCACATCATTGCACTCCAGCCTGGGCGACAAGAGTGAGACTGCATCTTAAAAAAAAAAAAAAAAAAAAATTGTTGATGTTGCTCTAGTCATCACCCTTCACATTTTACAGCAACGGCAAAATCTCTAGAACTTTCTTCCAAACACTGACCATTTGTCAGCATACATTTTCCTTAAAAAATGGGAGCCATCAGTTGCAAATCTTCCACAGTGAACCCAGGCACAACTGCTTCTTACTATCCATCTTTAGTCCTTCTACTTATAAACCATGCTTCCTTATTTTATTTTATTTTATTTATTTATTTATTTAGTTAGTTAGTTAGTTAGTTAGACAGAGTCTCACTCTGTCTCCCAGCTGGAGTATAGTGGCTTGATCTCAGCTCACTGCAACCTCTGCCTCCCAGGTTCAAGTGATTTTCCTGCCTCAGCATGCCAAGTAGCTGGGATTACAGGCGCCCGCCACCATGTCCGGCTAATTTTTGTATTTTTATTAGAGACAGGGTTTCACCATGTTGGCCAGGCTGGTCTCGACTCCTGACCTCAGGTAATCTGCCCACCTAGGCCTCCGAAAGTGCTGGGATTACAGGCGTGAGCCACCGCGCCCAGCCCCATGCTTCCTTATTTCTAGGCAATATTGTACTATTGATACTTTGTCTTTTTTCAGTGTGGTCATCATATTCACATTACTTCCTTGTTCCTTATTATTTGGGTAAGTCAAGCCTCAACCATCTTAAAAACTAACAAAATAAAACATAACCAGAATGGAGAATAATAACAGGTACTCAGAAGTCAGAAAATCTAAGTTTATATCCAGGTTCCACAACTGGGCAATTGATCTGACCTTGACAATTTGCTGAGCCTATTTGTGCCTCTGTTTCCTCTTCTGTAAAATCAAATAATTATAGTATACTTTATAAGGAGTTTGAAAAAGATTAAATGGAATAACATATATAATGGGCATGTAATAGTGCCTGGCATGTAGGTAACACTCAGCAAGTTAGTTGTAGTTATTATTCTTATTATCCAGCACATAGTAAACTGTCGGTAAACGTTTGTCATGCTGTTGTCATCCTCCCGTGACCCAAATGGCCTCACACAGTCATAGTCATTTGGAAGTTAAAGTCTATCCATCCTCCCCTTTAATGGCTTCACATTGTCCATGAGATAAAGTTTCTGCTTGATCTGACACCTCACTACATTTCAACCTCATCCCATACCACTCTATGCACTTGGTCTCTATGCTCTGGTGATACTGAAGCTCATTTCAGCAGCTCATTTTAATATTTCTCAGGCATTTGAACAACAGTGGAGTAAGCACTCATTGCATGCAAGCTATTACTTGCAGTTTACTATTATTATTATCAGCAGGCTTAGCCACCTCACTCAGGTTCTCCCCATCAAACCCTTCTGTCTCTCAGAATGTGCAGGGTTAACTTTAAGATGATTTTAACATCTGATAGGCTCTCCTGCTGAAAAAGTCCTTTTATTTTATCTTTAAAAAATTAAAAGGGAAGCAATAAATGATGGTTCTTCAAGAAAATACATGTTCTCTTGCATATTTCTGGCTTTTCTTATTGCTCCTATGCCTGGAACACCCTTCTCTCCCTCATTTGCCTGATATATTGAATTATTAGGACTTGGCTTAGGTGTAAACTCCACCTGGAAACCTCTCTTTTCTCTCAATGGCTCTGACATATCCCTCTTAGCGTACCTGTAACACACTGTTTAGCCCTACCAAAGCATATATCATATCATATTGCCATCTGGATGTTTCCCTTACTAGACTTTCAGCACACTGGGGGCGGGGAGGGGAATGCACGTGAGTCTTTCTTATCTTTGCACCCCTTGCCTGTGACACTCTTCTAGCCCAAAAGAGGCTGAGTATAGAACAAGGACAAAAAGAAAACAAATATTCTTCAATTTGCAAAGTTTTCATCCTCCTCTTACTGTGAATCAGTCTGTTTTTGACAGAGTCTCATAGTGGCTTCCAAGCATTCCCATCAAATAAAATTCCCATTAGGGCACTCAGCGGTGTTCATGAAGGTTACTCCTGAATTCTCAGAACTTAGAAGTGGTAAAAAGTTTATGTTCCCAAGAGTAGCCTATGCTTTCTTTCCAGTGTAATAATCTCACTTTGTGGTTTGCCACTGGGGATTGTAAGTTGTCATGCGAATTCTTCATTCTCTTTTTTTCCTGCTTTAAGGCTCATAAGGACACCTATTTGCTGGGGAACATGAAATTGGGTAGAGTATAATTGCTTTCTCATTCTGTCAGATTCTCTCTAGGACCTTAAAACAGATCTATAATATTAACCTGAGGTGGAGAAAAGAAGCAATTATTCTGATAGTCCAGCCTAAGAAAGTGCAGTGGAAAACAAAGCCAGGTGTGAATTTTGAATTAACTCGAATTCCACTGCAGAGCTCAAAATAAGCAATAAGAAAGTGAAGTTTCCTGAGTGTATTGCTGTAGCTCCTATCTATTCTAACATTAATTAAGAAAATCTAGTCCTATGATGGCCTGAAAGATTGAATTATATTTGGGAAGCCAAAAATACCTTTCTCTTTTCCCTTCTCCTCTCCTCCTTCTCCTTTTTTTCATTATTTTTTCTTTTTCTCTGTCTTCTCTTTAAATATAGAAATCCCAAGAAAACCCTGGAAAAGGCCCATTAAACTAATAAAATATGACCATGGAGTATTATAAATTGTAACCAATGATTATCCCCTCATCCACTTCGTGCAAAGATTCCTGCAGGCATCAATTAGACAATGAGGCCACTGTAATGTTTGGCCAGTTCTGACCTTGACAGACTCTACTGGGGAGTTGAAAAAATAGTGTATATATTTTAAACTTAAACCTTATTTTCAGTTAAAACTGATGGTAATGATGATCTAGTGAAGGAAGGCTTTGTGTGTGTGTATGGCAATTCTCTTTTGGGCTTAGAGTTGTGTCAAAGAAACCAGAAAAAGAAAATGACAATGAAGCTCCCAGGATAAAGGAATAAAATATTTTTTACATCTTGCAACAAATGAGAGCCCAGAACATGTGACTGTGAAACTGTACTTGCTGAAGAATGAGCTCATTTTTTATTGATGGTGAACTCTGAGCTGTCTTTTAAGGGAGCTGGTTGCAGAACTTCTTTCCCATCATCTTCTTGTCCTAGATTATTGACGCTGTAATCTTTTCACCAGGAAACATTAATTTTGAACTAAGGCTAAACATTACTTATAAGCTTTACATCAATAATTCTTTAAAAATTATTGGGTAGAATTTGATTTTGCTCAGAAATCTATTTTGTTTTTGGGTTATTTTTAATACCACTATTCATGGGCACATGTTTATATATTAGTTTTTGCTAAGAGTGGGGCTAAATTCTAACATTCAATGGGCTAATTAAATAAGTTACATAATAATTTTTATATGTATGATGTTGAAAATGAAGTTAATTTAATGTCTAATATATTGTTAGCCTATTGTTTCAAATTATCTAAAACTGTTTTCCAATATATGCATTAATAAAACATTTTATTCTATATTAGATTCTTAATTTCAAAAAAGCTAGAGTGATTATAATTTATTATTAAAAACTTAAGCAGTATGCTGCTTTAGGAATAAATAGGCTTGCGTGCAAATACCTGGGTGTTAACCCAGCTATGCCCTGTCACTAGTAACAAGTAACGTTGCTTTTAGAACCTTATTTGTCTTACTGTAAAATGGAAATAATACCTTCCAAACTTCAGCCTGTTTCACAACATGTGGTAACAACCAAATGCAGTCACGTGTAATAAACACATGTTTGCATGGGTTTTTTTTAAAATAAATAACCCCATAATTATATAATAAAGATAAAACATAGAAGACCCTTGTTTGGTTCAAATAATTTTGGTTATATTTTCAGGAAACAAAGTTAAACGAATCTGTAACAATTTAAGATCCTAAAACATGGCCTGGGAGGCTACCTGATATCCCAGAATTTTGAATCAGCGGCTGGTTCAATTTAATATAGTATATTTTAGGGAGATATTATTTGTTCTTGATTTTATACCAGACACTAAAGAGATTACAATTCCTTTGCTCAAGAAGTTTACAACATTGGTGTTGCTGCAGAATGGTTTGTTTCCATAAAACAATAAGAAAATCATGTAAGAAGATAAAAATGTAATAATATGCATACAATAACTGGTTTAAAATCAAACAGCCTCATGGTTTACTTTCTGCTCGCACCTATACTTCAGTAAATACAAGTCAAGCAAATACAAATAATTGAATAGTAGTGGAAAGCTGTAGTAAAAGTCGCCTGTAGAATATCAGAGGAGATTTAATTAACCACTATTAGTAAAAGTTCTAGAAACCTTTCATTATCCATTCCTTTCTCAATTTCTCAGAAATTCCCTAATTACCCTCCTTCACTCTCAAACTTGTCAACCTAAAGAATTCTCTTCTGGCTTTTTGTGTGTGGGGTGGGGGGTTGGGGGTGTCTCTAACTCTAACATTTTTATTATGAGCATTCATTTAGCATCTGTGGCTTCTTTGGTTTATTTTCCCCTTTTTCATTCTCTCTCTCTCTCCCTCCCTCCCTCCGTCCCTAGTCCCTCACTTCCTCGCTCCCTCTCTCTCCCTCTCTGGCAATTTCTTGCTGAATCAAATTGCTAGTGAACATACAAATGTTCTCAATGTTTTCTTGTGGATTCCTGAAGTTTTATAACTCTTTCATGATTGAATTAACTTATGGAAAATTTAAACTAAAGTGGCTGTATGATATTGCCCCCTGCCCTGCCCCACAAACTGCCATGAGTCACTGTGATTAACCTCCTGTCTGATAAATTTGGAATTGCCTTGGTACAAGTACAAGGATAAATGAGGATACAATCAGATTTAATCAAGTTATAAAGTCTTCTTAAATGGTTCTCTAAATGTGACTGGTGATAAATCAAATTATTCTGAAAAATGAAGATAAAAAACAGTCTCTGGAACTATGTTTACTACCTAAAGGAGATATCTTTGTCCAATTCAGTGTAGAATCTTGTAAGAAAAGCCACAGAGTATTTCATGTCCCATTGGTATTTGTTTCTAAATTTGCTCCATAAAAATATTAACATTCTCTTTGCAATAAAAATGTGCTGTATTTAACTAGTGAGACTAAGGAAATAATTTGGCTTACTCCCATAAGTGTAATAAAACTATAAAATGTCTCTTTTTCTCTTTTACTTACATGCATGAACCAGGCTTGAATTATTTTAAGCTACCTAATATATTCAGCATTCTGAGTGATTTTTTTCTTCACTTCTAAGGACATGAAATGAAAACGCACAAATGTTATATATATTTGATGATAGGAAATAAGATAAGTGGACACTGGTTTATGCTGGTAATGGAAGTAAAATGCATACAGAATTTTTAAATAGAAATTTGGTTGCCTGTGTCAAGAACATTAAAATAATTCATAATCTGCATTCAATTTTTGCTTAGAGATGTAGAATCTGGAAGGAGGCTCATTCCTACTGGTTTAAGCTAAATTCAGTCCTCCTCAAATTTACATGTTAATTTCCTCATCCCCACTACCTCAAAATGTGACTGGATTTGGAGATAAGGCCTTTAAAGATGTGATTAAGTTAAAATGAGTTTGTACAGGTGGGCCCTAATCCAGTCTCACTGGTCTTATAAGAAGAAGAAATTTGGGTGCATAGAGAGACCACCAGAAAAGTGAGCCTGCCCAGAGATACCAGAAAAGTGAGCGCACAGAGAAAAAGCCACGTAAGGACACAAGGAGAAGGTCACCATCTGCAAGCCAACAAGAGAGGCCCCCAAAGAGGCCTGCCCACACCTAGACCTTAGAGTTCCCACCTACAGATTTGTGAGAAAATACATTTCGGTTGTTTAAGCCACTCAGTCTGTGATATTTTGTATGGCAGCTCTAGCAAATAAATACACTCACCCTTCAAATAAAAAAGCAAAACCTAAGAGACAAGAAAGCAAAAGAAACTACAAATTCATGAGTATTTTTAAATCCACCAGAGATCTAAGGTCATAGGCCGAACAACTTGATAAAAATGAAAGAAAAAAAAAAGTATCTGTGAGCACTACCTTACATGGTATATACAAAACCAGTAAGAACAATTGGAATTTCAAATTAAAAAAACTTTCATTTACAATAACAGCAAAACAAATGAAATACTTCAGTGTAGTATTCTAACATATTATGTGCATAATCTAACAAATTATGTGCAAGATGTGTAGGCTAACCTTGTGAATGATCTAAGCATTCAGTTAAAAACAGAGACTGTTACTGAACAGAAAGCAAGACCCAGTGACGTGTTATCTATACAAAGTCCACTTTAAATATAAATACATATATAAGTTAAAAGTAACAAGATATAAAAAACATGTACCATGCAACCACTAACCAATAAAAGCCAAAGTCATATAGTCATATCAGACAAAGACTTCTGAACTAGGAATTTTGTGATGGTTAATACTGAGTGTCAACTTGATTGGACTGAAGGATGCAAAGTATTGATCCTAAGTGTGTCTGTGAGGGTGTTGCCAAAGGAGATTAGCATTTGAGTTAGTGGGCTGGGAAAGGCAGACCCACCCTTATTCTGGGTAAGCACCATCTAATCAGCTGCCAGCACAGCCAGGATACAAAGCAGGCAGAAAAACGTGAAAAGGCTAGACTGGCTTAGCCTCCTAGCCTACATCTTTCTCCTGTATTGGACGCTTCCTGCCCTGGAACATCAGACTCCAAGTTCTTCAACTTTGTGACTCAGACTGGCTTCCTTGCTTCTCAGCTTGCAGACAGCTTATTGTGGCACCTTGTGATCATGTGAGTTAATAGTCCTTAATAAACTCTCCTTTATATATACATCTATCTTGTTAGTTCTGTCCTCCTACAGAACTCTGACTAATACAAATGTTATCAGAGGTAAAAAAGGATAATACATGATAATGAAGGTGTCAGTTCTCCAAGAAGGCTTAATAGTCCTAAATGTGTATGAACCGAACAACAGAGCTTCAAAATACACAAAGCAAAAAGTGGAAAGGAGAATCAACAAATCCAAAAGTATAGAGACTCTTCTCCTACTATTAATAATCAATATACTAAGGAGAATGAAAATCAGTAAGGTTATAGAAGATCTGAACAACACGATCAACCACTTTAACAAATTGACATTTAAAGAACACTTTGTACCCAACAACAGCAGAATACATATTCTGCTCTTCACATGGAAGATTCACTGAGATAGGCCATTTTGTAGGCCATAAAAATAAAAAAACACGGCCGGGCGCGGTGGCTCACGCTTGTAATCCCAGCACTTTGGGAGGCCGAGGCGGGCGGATCACGAGGTCAGGAGATCGAGACCATCCTGGCTAAAACGGTGAAACCCCGTCTCTACTAAAAATACAAAAAATTAGCCGGGCGTAGTGGCGGGCGCCTGTAGTCCCAGCTACTTGGGAGGCTGAGGCAGGAGAATGGCGTGAACCCGGGAGGCGGAGCTTGCAGTGAGCGGAGATCCCGCCACTGCACTCCAGCCTGGGCGACAGAGCGAGACTCCGTCTCAAAAAAAAAAAAAAATTAAAAAAAAAAAATAAAATAAAAAAAATAAATAAATAAAAAAACACAAATTAACATATTAAAAAAATAGAAATAATACTAAGTATGTTCCCAAACAATATGAGAATTAAACTGGAAATTTTTAGCAGAAAAATATCTGGGAAATCTCCAAATATTTGGAAATTAAGCATGCACTCCTAAGTAATTAAATGGTCTAATAGAAAGTCTTAAGGAAAAAATTTAAAAATATTTCAACAATAATGAAAATACAACATAACAATATTTGTAGTTTAGAGTTAAAGAAATGCATGGAGGGACACTTTACGTTATTCAGCAGCTATTAGAAGTTCGTATGTCTAGTAATAGAGTTCAGCAAGGTTTCAGGATGAAAGGTTGACATGTAAAAAATCAAATATATTTATACAAAATACCGATGAACAATTAGAATTTCAAATTTTTAAAAATACTATTAAACAGAAATATTTTGGTTTAAACTTAACAAAATATGTGCAAGAACTACATGTTGAAAGAAAGCTCTGATGCAAGAAATTAAAAATTATATAATGGGAAATATATGTGTTTTTTGATTGGTAGGCAATAGTTTTAAGATATCAATTCTTCCAAATTTGATCAATAGATTCAAGTCAATCTCAATCAAAATTCCAGCATGCTTTCTTGTTAATATGATAAACTGAACCTAAAACATACATGGAAAGTTAAAGGTAGTAGAATAGCTTAAATAGTTACGAGAAAAAACCCCCACAAAATTACAGGACCAATTCTACCAGATTTTGAACCTTTTTATAAGGCTCATAATTAAGACACTGTTGTATTGGTGAAAAGATTAGACATATAGGTGAATGAAATGTACATAGGTTTTGGAAATTGACTTACACAAATCTGATCAATTTATTTTTGATAAAGTTGTCAAGGCAATTAAATAGAGAAAGGATCGTCTTTTCAAAAATTGTGCGGGAACAATTCCTCTATTTGCAAAAACATGAACCTTGTCCCCTACTTCACATCTTACGTAGAAATTAACTCACGATGGATCCTAGACTTAAATGTAAAATGTTAAGCTGTAAAACTTGTGAGGAAAAAAAAAAAAACAGCGGAAAATGTGCTACGTTGGGTGGAGAAAGTTTTTAGATACAATGCTAAAAGCATTGATAAATTAGACTTTATAGAAACTAAAAATGTTTGCTTTGTTAAAGGCACTATTAAGATGATAATAAAAGATGCGCCAGAGGTATATACAGATTATATTTTCCACAAAGAATTTGTTTCCAGAATATATAAGGAATATTTTTCATGATAAAACCGACATTATAATGATACAAATGAGCAAAGATAGACATTTTACTAAATAAGTTGTATGAATGGCAAGTAATTATATAAAAATGTCCTCAGCATTATTAGTCACTAGGGAATTGAAAATTAGAATCACAGTGAGATTCCACTATATACCTTTCAAAATGGCTAATTATGAGTAAAAATGGAGCAAAAAAACTTTACAATTTCAAGTGCTAGCAAGTATGTGAAGCTACTTAAATACTCATCCTTTGCTAGTAGAAAAAGCAAATGGGTATTTTTTGGAAAACAGCTTAACAATTTCTTATACAATTAAGACATGTACCTACCATATGTCCCAGTAGTCCCACCAGTATGTATTTACCCAAGGGAAATTAATACAGATTTGCATTAAACCTATTTTAAATATTTATAGCAATTTTCTTCATAACACCAAATAAGTAGGTACCATTCAGAACAACTAAGGTCTCATTCAATTGGTTAATGGATAAACGAACTAATATGTCTCTAAATTAACTACACCTAAGCAATTAAAAGAATTCGAGAGAGTCTTCAGATGCAAGAATATGAGGCCATACTTGAACAAAAACATAAAAAAAGATGTGGATATGGTGAAAGGGCACAAAAGCAGTGCCTAATTTCCAAAGTTGAAAAAATTTGTTCAATAAAATAAATAATACTTTTGGATTAAAACCCAGATAATAATATAAATATCCTTGAGTCCAAATGAATATAAAAATAAGTAAATAAATAAATGAATTGCAAGAAGACACATTTTTTCTCACAGAAAAAAATTAATAAATGTAGATAGAATAAAGGAAATAGAAAATCTTCACTTGAACATCATGCTAATTATTGCAGCAGGCAAGATCCACAAATGGATGCTAAAATTCATATACAAAAGTGTAAGGATAAAGTATATACTTGCATAGATCCATCATGTTTTCCTCAAAATAAATATTTATTAATTATAAGGTAAAATATAGTAACTTTACATTGAACAAATATGGCATACACTACCTTAACCAAGTGATCAAGTTTAACATAAGCAGAATATGATATACCAACATCTTGTACCTACAAAGGAAGTTGCATTAAGAGAAGTATTTCACTTCTGTGATATTTTTTACAGTAACGCATAGCCTAAATCTAATTATAAGAGAACATCAGACAAACCCAATATAAGGGGCCTTTTACAAAATAATTAACTAGTACTCCTTTAAAAGTCTTAAGGTTATGAATGAGAAAGAAAGACTGAGAAACTGTCACAGATGGGAGAATTACAAAGGATGCACGATTATATCACATTGAGGATTCTGGATTAGATCCTAGAGTGGAAGAAGAATATTAATGAAAAAAACAGTAAAAGCCAGAGTCTAGTTTAACTCATAGTAATGTACCAATGTTAATTTGTTTTGGCAATTGTGCTGTGGTTATATAAGATGTTATTATTAGGGTCACCTGCATCATCATTCAAACTCTCTATACTACCTCTGTAGCTCTTCTATAAATCTAAAATTATTGTTGCAAATTTAAAAGCTGGAAAATATTCATTATCTTTAAATTACTACTATCTTTTCCAGGAATTTCTTTAAAAAGTAGCCCAAAAATTATAATTTAGTAAGAAAATTATCAAAAATAATTGCTGTGTAATCAATCACACACAAAAATAATTTGTAAAAATACTTTAGTAATCATGAGAAAAACTAAATTAAAAAAGTTGAGAAACACCATTACAGTTTATGGTGCCAAATAGAAGTAAGGGTCACCCCTCCATCAAGATTCTGTGCAATATCTGTTCAGGTTTTATTTTATAAATCAACTGGCTGCCTTTAACAGCACAATATACAGTTAGATTAGAGTTTGTTTTGTAAATAAGCCAATACGAGTTCCTGAAGAAAAAAAAAGAAAGAAGGAGCTCTTAAAACGATGCATCATATGGCCAACAAGCACATGAAAAGAAGCTCTCATCATTCTACCATAAAGACACATGCATGTGAATGTTCATTGCAGCACTATTCACAATAGCAAGACATGAAATCAACATAAATGTCCATCAATGACAGACTGGATAAAGAAAATGTGGTACAAATACACATGGAATACTATGCAGCCATAAAAACAATGAGATTATGTCTGTTTCCAAAACGTGGATGGAGCTGGAGGCTATTATCCTTAGCAAACTAATACAGGAACAGAAAACCAAATACCACATGTCCTCACTTTTATAAGTGGGAGCTGAATGAGGAGAATGCATGAACACAAAGAAGGGAACAACAGACATTGAGTGTGGGAGGTGGGAAAAGAGAGAAGAGCAGAACAAATAACTACTGGGTAGCAGGCTTAATACCTGGGTGATAAAATAATCTATGCAACAAACCCCCATGACACAAGTTTACTTATATAATAAAACTTCACACATACCCCTGAACCTAAAAGCTAAAAATAAATAAAAATAAAACATAGATGGCAGTTAAAAAAAGATACAGAAAACAAAACACAATGCATCTGTAAAAAGGATGTCAGAAATTCGAGTAGAGAAAGGAGCAAGCCCCTTTGAGAGGGTGCATATTCAGTTATAGGTTCTGGAGCTTTCTATTAGGCTACAGATCTTGGCTTTTGACTATTTTTCTGTAGACACAATGTATGTCTTCTTTTTATAGGTTTGTTAATGATAAAAAAAAGTATCCTAATGTTACCTAGAAAGAAAAGATACTACATTTAACTCTAAAGAAACAAGTTCAAACGGAAATACTATACAGAATAACTATCATGGGTTCCATCTTGTGTATCGGTGCCAGTGTCTCCTGACCCTGTACCTTTCATACCACTGTTTTTATTCCTGAGCCAAGAAAGGGTAGTTTGAAAATAATCCTGAGATCATGACATTTGAATTCTGATTTCCAAGATTCCAAATGCCTTTGTGTGGTTCTCATGTATAGTTTTGTTCAACTAGAAGGCTGCCTCTCATAATGACAACAGGCCTTTATTTATTGTTTATTGCAAGCATGAGCTAAACTTGTGCCTCCAATCATAAGCAAGCAAGTTAAAGCTAGCAACTGAAAAGGCTCTTAATTCCAGAGAAAGGTGGGACTGGCTACCATTCTGCAATAGAGTTTGAAACAATAAACAGATATTAGAAAGTATTTGGAGGAAAGTTGTCAAAGAGAGAACAAGGCATGTCTGCATAATAGAAGCTATGATCTTTACCCTCGGTGGAAAAAGATTTGAGTTGAACAAATATCATCATTTAGATAATATTTTTCTAAGTTCTCACTTACATAAAAATACAGCTATTTATGAATCCCAAATATTTGGATGGAGCAGGAATGAAACGAAGATAACTTTACCTAACAGTACCTCGATGGTGTCTCAATGATTCTACTCAAGAAAAGAGGGTGAGGTGTGGGAGAATAGATGAGGGAGTTGCAGGTACCTGGCTAATAGCACCTTTCTTCATCCAACTACCTGGGTTTTCAGGCTGTCAATAGGAAAAGGGGAAGAAAAAATATTATTTAAAGAAACCAGCAAGTTTAGTGTTCCCACTTATGGAAATGTCAAAGAGAGAATCTGGACTGGGGCATCTCATTTCATATCACACCAAGAAGCAGGGCTTATTTTGTACCACCTCTTCCCCACCTTTCTCTTACGTTGCAGGGCTTGGGTGGTAAGAAATCAATGTGCACCCTGCCAAAGCCTTGGAAAGCGACTCAAATTTGTAAGATGTAGACTTTGGTAATCTGTTAAGGGAAAGAGGAAAGTATACAGGGAGAGAAGCATTTTTTTTCTCTGAGATAAACAGATTTTTTCTCAGAGGTAAAGACTTTGCATAAGACCTGAATGGATTAGGAAAATGGCATGTGAACTTGAATTTAGAGGAGCTAGACTAGGAATCAAATAAGTATCCTCAGAGGAACTCCCTATATGAGGGTCCCAAGTCTTCATGTGTCTTCTGTTTTGATATTCAAAACAAGTTTGCGTTAGTTAGAAACTAATTTTTCTTTCTTCTTTATTGCAAATCTTAATCCTTTAGAAAATAAATTTTGCCTATACCTGCTCAGTCTTGGGAATATAGACTTTTCCACCTACTCTTGAACTCTCTGTGGAGAAGGTCTCTAGTTAATTAACTCTCGTATATTAGAATTCCACATGAGGGGAACTGTTGATGGTGATGCCTGGAGGGGAAAACTTAGACCTATGGCTCAAGAGAGGGAAGCTGCAAGAAATACAGAAAGACTAGATACTCTGCCAGCGTGGTGAACTCTTGGCTGCTGTCTTCTCAAAGGGAAAGAGAGACAACCCAGTGGGCATCCGTGTTACTCTTGCTCTTCATGTTTTTCTGAGACATTTTACAATGTTTATGTAAAGATGTTTTTCAGGGTTATTCTGTTTTCCTCATGTTTTTCTGAGACATTTTACAATGTTTATTTAAAGATGTTTTTCAGGGTTACAAAGGGCCAGTCTTTTTTTTTTTTTTTTTTTTTCTGAGCCGGAGTCTCCCTCTGTTGCCCAGCTGGAAGTGCAGTGGCACCATCGCGGCTCACTGAAACCTCTGCCTCCTGGGTTCAAGTGATTCTCCTACCTCAGCCTCCCCAGTAGCAAGTAGCTGGGACTACTGGCATACACCACCATGCCCAGCAAATTTTTGCATTTTTAGTAGAGATGAGGGTTTCACCATGTTGTCCAGGCTGGTCCTGAACTACTGGCCTCAAGTGATCCGCTTGCCTCGGTCTCCCAACGTGCTGGGATTACAGGCAGGAGCCACTGCACCCAGCCAAAGGGCCAATCTTAAAAGGCATTGCAGGACTTGCCGTCTTAGATGTTTAGAAGGACCCATGTGTTAAAAGTGTTTGAAATAGGTTTTGACCCCTTACTGAAGGGGTTGAGAGGGCCTATGTTTGTGAAGTGAGGTTGGAGAAGCGGAGTCTATATATGTGCTGTATTATGTGCCTGTGTGTGTATTTCTGTGTGTAGGTGTTCAACCATGTACTGTATCTCTGTCTTTCAGTCTTGATTGATAGAAAATTTATTTAACTTACTTCAAATGTAGAGAAAAAAATACAGGAAAGATTGTAATAAGTGGATCGAATTCTAGTTAGTTCAACTCTAAAGTATTGAATATTCAAGTGTTCGTGTTCCTGGGATGGTGGTGGGGGTATTTCTCTAAGTCGAGAATTTTACAAAAATTGATTCTGATGTGTGTCTCTTCTTCTTAAACCCTTATAGAGTGTGAGAGTCAAGACTATTCCTTACAAACTTCTTTTATATTCCCCTTACTTTACTCAAAATACTGAGCATATAGCAGCCGCACATTTAATTAATTAGTAAGTTACCTGGGTTAAAAATAGAGACATATATAAGTAGAAAACTCAGGAGTTCAGTATTTTGCCAGTAATAGATGAGAATTTTAAAACAGTGTGAAGAATATTTCTCCAAGATCTGGGATTATGATTAATTGGATGCATGAATTTGTTTGTGTGTAAAATTAAAATTAGGCTAATAAAATTAGTACAATTCATGATCAGTTTGGTTTCATAATTTGCATCATCTGAAAAGCAGAAAATTTTGGGTCTAAATTAAATATAGAGATAAATTAGAGATTTATAACTTAACTTTAGTGAAAGAGTCAATTATATCTGAGGAAGACCAGACTATTAAATTTTTTCTAGAATGTGAGCCTCCCTGAGCAGGTGTTCCTCATGAATCAGAGTCTGGAGTCTAGAGATCTGGCCTGCATTTGAATTCCCGCTCTGTCACTTAGTAACGACGTGACCCTGAGCAACTTCCTTAATCTCTCTGTGCTTCAGTCTTTACTCCAAAAATAGGGATTTTAATAGCATCTACCTCTTTGGGTAGTTATGAGGATTGAATGGGCTGATACATGCATGCATGCATGCAGACAGAGAAGAGTCTGGCACAGATTAAGTGCTCAAAACTGTTATTTGTGAAGATGATTGTACTCATTTCCTGTCTCTCCTCTAATAAATTATTACAAACTAAGAGGCATAAAACAGTCCAACTTTGTTATTTTACAGTTCCGTAGATGAAGTTTGACGCAGGTCTCACTAGGCTAAAATTTAGGTGTCTTTAGGCTGCATTGCTTTCTATAGGTCCTGGAGGAGGATCTGTTTCTTTGCTAATTCCATTTATTGGCAGAATTCAGTTCCTTGCAGTAATAGGATCTAGGTCTCCGTGTTCTTGTTGGCTGTAAGCAGAGGGCTGTTTCCACCTTCTAAAAGTACTGCATTCTTTGGCTCATGGCCCCTTCCTTCATCTACCAGGCCAGCAAAGGAGGCCAAGTCCTTGCTATGTGGCATCTTTCTGATCATTCTTTCATGGTCAAGTTATAATCATTCCAGCTGGGAAAGGTCCTTCACTTTTAAGGTTGCGTGTACTTAGATAGGGTCCACCTAAATAATCTGGGATAATCTCCCCTTCCCAAAGTCCTTATCCTTAATCATATCTGCAAAGTTCCGTTTCCAGGTAAAGCAACATAATCACAGGTTTTGGTGACTGTTGCATGAAAATCTTTTGTTGTGGGAGAGGAGTCATTATTCCACTTACTACAATGGTGATAGCCTTGAGGTTGAAGGTAAAATTTAAAAGTCAGAAATCATTGTATTTGTCAGGTCATCTGTAGGGGAATTTTTCAGTTTCTGTACATATTCGAAAGTGGAAATAAAGTGACCAAATACCCTAGAATCTCTCCCTAAAGCAATGTTTATAAAACATCCTCCAAATATTATTTTTGGGAGATAATAGACATAAAATTGAAAAAATAGGTGTGTATAGGAGGGCTTCTGTTTGTTGTCAAATAAGACAGGTAAATAAAGCAAATTCAATCTGATTCTTTAAAGAGATTTTTTCTACTACCCTTAATATGGTAATGCGCGTTGCGACTTCCCAGAAGGGATTTGTAGTGTTTGTTAGTCATAATTGATTATAGACATTTTATTTTTATTTATTTCCTAAGAGATTCTGAATTAACCTTGGCACGTGATTGTCCAGGCACCTGGTGTGCTAGCAACGCACTTGGCTGGAGGTATGGACAACATCTCTCATCGCGTAGGAGGCAGATTTACAAGGAGACTCTACCCTGGCTATATTTAAATGGCGTTTTATCTATAAGATCCTTTTTAGAACTTATTTTTCTTTCAAATTATAGGAACCATTTTATACTATTCTGTATTTGGAAGCATTTGTACTACTTAGACATAGCCAAATCCTTTTGTCATTAGCTAAATAATAATAATTATTAATATCTCATATTTTACATCTGTTTAATAAGTGCCGGGCACTGTGCTAAGGACTTCGTGAGCATTATTTCACTGAATACTCATGACAATGCTTGTGAAGTTGGTGCTATAATTATGAGGGAAATGAGACTTAGCAAATTAATATAGTAAATATTGGGTTAAATAAAATATAGTCTGTGTTATTTCATAGTATGTCCTCTTGCTCACTATGCTGTACTGTCACTATAAATAGTTATAAGTATAAGCCATAATGTTACAATAAATCCAAAGGCAGTATTTTATTTGGAAGTGGACAGTGGAAACGAATTGCACAATCTAAGACTAAGGCAGGCATATTTAGTTGTGCCTTAGATATGGTCATTATTGTTTCCCTGCATACATCCTTTCCCAAGAGAAACTGCCTCTCTCCCCTCAGCTGACTTGTTTGTACAACTCCTTGTCTCCCTCTACACTCTGACCCCACATCAAAAATTAGACCAGATATAGAAATCTTATCTCAAAACAACCAATTCATGAACTAGTCTGAGCCAAGTAGATTATATCTTGAGACTCTGAGTTCAGTCATTTTGCAACCGAGTCACATAAGAGGTCACCAGACAAAAGATACAGTGCAAGAACCCTTACAGGGCTAAGGTGGTGCCTCCTGGAAAGGACATTTTAAATGATTTTCTTCTCCTGATCTGAAGGAACAGGAAAAGGCAAATACAAAGGAGTCTTGAGATCAATGGGAGAAGGAAGATTTCTAGAGAGTTGGGGAGTGCGAATGTACAGTCGTTGTGAAAGGATGCCAGTGCCTGTTGAGTGAACAATCTGGCCTACTTGTGAGAATTGCCTGGCGGTTGGGAAGAGGGATTTGCCGAGCCACCTTTGCTTGATTAAAATGTCTTGTGAAGTCTTCAAATTCCCTTTGCTTTGGTTTTATATTTGCTGAGCAACCTTCTAATCTTAATTTGCTTTCCCACCGAGGCTTCCCTAACAGGTGGTGAAAGTGCTTTCTGGCTGACAGGAACATTCTTCACAGTGAATTAATAAATTGTCATTCTGATGTCAATCTCTCATCAGCTGGGCCAGGGTGAATCATCGGGCTTGGTCCCAGGGAGGTGAACTAATGGATGAGGACTCTGAACCCCCCTGGGGTGAATGGCCAGGTTCAATTCAACACCCCGGAGCCTGGAGCCAACAAGCAGTCAGGCACACAGCAGTTAGTTCACTAATTAATCCTTCAGCAAATGTTTGGTGGGTGCTTCCTTCGTGCCAGGCCCTGCTTTAGAAGCCAGATCCTCTGCACTAAGCAAGCCAAAGCTGCACCTTGCCCTCAGAGAAGTTACAGTTTAGGAAAGGAAGACAGACAATATGAAAAAGTACAGAAATAGATATATAGACAAATAATAGATATGAAAATTATCAGGTAGTAATAGGTGCTATCAAGAATATTAAAATAGGATGATATGATACAGGGTAACTGGGTGGTGATTTTCTGAGAGGCAGAATGGAGAAGTGGTTAAAATAATGGACTTCAGACATGAAGTCAAATCATCTCCATTACTTTATAGGGTCTGACCTTGGGCAGTTTTCTTAGCCTCTCTGTGCTTTAGTTTCTTCATCTGTAAAATGTGGTTGATGACAATCTACTTGTAGGTTTGCTAAACATATTAAATGAGTTCATGTATGTAAAGCATTTAGGATGGTGCCAGGCATGTGGTAGATGCTGTAAAAGTGTTGACTGCTACTATGGTTCCTATGTTTATTTAAAGACATTTATTTGAGATTTGAATAAGCAGAAGGCCAACCACATGAATCAGGCAGAACATTCCAAGCAGAGGGAAATGCTGGTGCAGAGACCCAAAGACAAAAATGCACATGGCTCTGTTCAGTATCACAATGAGGGCTGGTGCAGCCAGCTGCCATAGAGGGTGGAGGGATGGTCAGAGGGAAATCATGTGGGAGGCAGGGCTGGGTCATAAAGGGCTCCTAGGTAGTAGAATGAATTTACTTTGAAAGAAATTCCACTTGTGTTGGTTGAGGGCTAGATGGTTGGTTGTGGAGTGAGAATAAGAGCAGGGAGAGCATGTCAATAGCTAGGTGGGAGGACCTATTATGTCCACTTCAGAACCTACATGTGTAGGAACTTTACCATCAAGCACCACCACACATACATCATTACATATTTAGCAGAGAAAAAAGGGGGAAAAAAACAGGCAAAACCTCTGCCCCCATGGATCATTCATTATTTTATAAATAATAATATTAGATAAGACAGTTTTTCTAGAATATTCCTATCCCCCATACCCAAGGCTCATTCTAAGAACAAATAAGTGATATTTGTGGCACATGCTGGATTGTAATTTATGTCTTTCTTGAAGCCATTCTTAACATTTGTAAGGATATTTCACTGTCTTCAATTTGTGGGATGATTGCTTAGGTATTAGTTCTGCATTTTGTCATACTAATCACTCTAGCAATATATCAAAATACATACATTTACATCATATGTCAGCTGCATATAAAATATATTATTATTAACATAAGACAAGAACTGATAAGCTTTCTACCCCATGGCTCATTTCTTCTTCTGGAGCACTCTAGCTGTAGTTTAGATAGCTTGGTTTGGCTGGAAAGACCCAACTAGACAAGGTCAGGTTAGCATGAATCTGTTCAAGCATGTTTAACAGTGAGTCAAGGTGATTTTGCTTTTTCCTTAAGTCATGAAATCTTAAGTGAGGAACCAGTCGCATTCCACTTACTATTTTTGATAGGACTCTGGCATTTAAAATCAGAGTTTTAAAACTCTAGGCCTGTTTTTCTGATCTATTCAGATCTCTTCTAGGGATAACTCAGCTCTTAAACTGTGTATCCAACTCTGGTGGGTTTTTTTTTTCTACTTACACCAAAAAGTTGGGAAAGGGAGATGTTGATTTACTCTTTTTATTCAATAATAAATAATAAATTGATAATAAAAATAATTTTTATAATTGTCTATTTCTTGTACTACTAATTATTTCTAGAAATTATTTTTCCATTACCACTATATGTGACTTTTCAAGAGTCTAAACATTCTCCAGAAGGTGGTTTAAATATATTTTATCTAATACATAAAAAGAGAACATGTCTTAAACATAATACATTCATCTCTGGGGAGATGTGGTCTAAGAGAAAGAATTCAGAGACTATGTTGCCACCCAGAATTCTCTTCTTCACACAGACCTGATGGGTCCTGAACTTCATAAATAGAGGAATTTATTAAATTATCTTTCTTGAGGTTTTCTGTAAAAAGTAACTAGTGCTATGAAGTAAGTTCTAATACTTACTTACCTAATAAATGACCTTGTTCTGACAAATAGAAATAGGAGAAGGCTGAGTTGGAACATGGAGACAGGTAAAGTAGCATTCCAAAATTTTTATTTTTTTAAAAAAAGGGCAACACAAATTGAGGACAAGAGGAAGAAACACTCAAAATCTTTTATAAAGATAAAAGTTCTCATTTCCCCAAATGGCTGCCCTCACATAGTGGCCTGACTTGTGCAGATCACAGCTTTGTGCTAAGCAGTTCCTTTGAGCTTCTTTGGTATTGGACAAGGATTCCAGCATAGTCAGATGAAGTTTAAATAATTATTCCCCTTCGTGACCACGGCTCTCACTAGGATGTAGGTGGTCATCCAGAAAACAAAAACAGAACTCTGGAATATATTTTCTCTATTCTAGGCACTAAGAAAACAAGCAAGCAAACAAGCAGAAAATCCAGGTAAAGTGCACAGCATGTGAACAGAAAGGCAATGGGATCCTATCAATATTTACATAAGGATTTCCTTCTGTGACTTGCCAGTGGAAACGATCTGAGTGGACCCTTGAGGACAATGAAGCAAGCTCTGAAATGTGTTGATCAAAGAATGCAGAACTCTGGGCAAATGCTTTGCCCTTAAGTCACATCAACCCTGCCATCCATATGTTTTAAGCCTATGTAGATTGTTTATTGTAGTTGGAGCAGATGGATCCCTCGATGCAAATGTAGCTTGCTGTTTTAAGGTATGCATGCCTGTGTGCCTGTGTGCACACGTGAGGATATACACACACACACACACTCTCTCTCTCTCTCTCTCTTTCTCTCCCTCTCTCACTCCAAGGCACCATAAGGGGCTGCCTATTGACCTTGGAAACATGAAGATACTAAAATGCCATATGATGATTTTAGGTGCAAGACTCACCTGCTTAACTTTTAACGGGAACTAGAATAATGTTCAAAAGTCTGTTTTAACTCCGGTTTGATTCAGAGCCCAGTATTACATGTTTACTACAATCTGAATGTCCTAAATAGCCTGAAAACTTTCCCCCTGGAAAGTAATCTGCTTATATCCAGTGAGACAGTAAAACACGACTCCAATTGTGTTTTCTCTGCCAGGCTGCTGAAGCACATGTGCTAAGCTAGATGGATTGCAAATTTGGATTCACACCAAATCTGAGGTGACCCCAATCCGAGTGTGATGTTGATTCTTCTTTACCAAGGCAGGCAAAGAAGACTTATGGAGCTCTGGGGGTGATGGGCAGCAACTTTGTTGTACTAGTGTAGGTGAGCCAAGGGAATATGTATGATATGTGGATAATTTTGATGATTTTTGGCTATGTTTAGGTCACCATGACAATATGGCAGCTGTGACAGGACTGGATATTATATCTTCATAAAATCCTTGGCTTGATTTAATACAAATTATTGCCATATAATCACAAGCATCTACCTTTTACTGCCATCTTCTAGCAAATCTCATGGAACTAGGAAAATCATTCCTGTATTTCTGGCTTACATGAAGAGTCTTGAATTTTCTGCTCTAAGGGGTGTTCTTGTTGACAAAATAATAATAATAATAATTGCTATGACTAGGAGGACTCCAGAGCTTGGATTACTTTTTCTACATAAATCAATACTGGGTGAAAACATGGGGCTTTGGGTAATTTGTTGCTGTAGATGTATTTAATGAGCAGCTTGGATTAGTCTGGCTTGGGCCCTTCTTGTTGCTGTGCCTAGGAACTTGAAGATGAAATTTAAGGCTAATGTGAATCCAGGCAGTTTCAGATGCTTTGAGTAGGAGACACTCCAAATAAGCCCGCCTTTAAAGACTTGAGGTTTCAGACCATTAAAGGAAATTAACTCATATTTTACACCAACCCTGCTCACCTCCTCATGGTCATAATCGGGAAAATTGAGGCCCAAGGTTTGTATTGTCCAAGTTAGATGATTTCTAGTCTGGATCTTTCTTCCACCCTATATTTCCCGCTTTCTCTCTGACCAACCTTTCAGTTGAAAGATGTAACAGGGGCTCATGCCATGCCATTCATTGGTTATAAATGATTTCAGGGCTTGAATTCAGTTAGTTAACAAGTATTTACCAAAAATTTATAAAGAACTAGGAATGGCAAAAAAGTGAAACCTACCAACTTATTTACCACTAATGTTTGTCAAGTACCTACAGTATGCAAGTACTCTGCCAGGTACTCTATGACTACTCTATATAAACAGGCCCTGCTCCAACTTGGCTGGACTTACATTTGTTGAACACATGGTATTTGGTTTCAATGAGTTATTGGTTTGTAGGAGATCAGACATACAGATAAGCGATCATGAGGCTATATAGCACAGGTACTGCATGAGTTCATAGAAGGTGGAGAAGGTAGTAGGGGCATCGAGGAGGTGGAGGTAGCAGTGGTACCATCTAACATGAGCTCTGAATGGAAGACAGAGCCTTAACATGCTAAGGTTGAAAAGAGAAAATTCTCCTTAGGAGGTCTAATTCTGAATAAAATACTAAATCTAATACACCACAGAAAGCATCCTCTCATTTTAATGGGGACAGGAGTCCTAGGCAAGAAAGCAATGGGATAGAAATGTTAGCTCATATGATTAACAGATAAATATTGAGTGACTACTCTGTGGTCAGGCATTGTTCTACGCTCTGGAATATGGAAGTGAACACAATAAAGTCTCTGTCTCCATCAAGCTTATATGCTAGTAGGAGGAAGTGGTAGGCAGCCTAAAAGATGGTGTCCAATGATTCTTACCTCCTGGAATCCCCTCCCCATTGAGAGTGGGTGGGACTTAGTGATTTGCTTCTAATGACAGAATATGGCAAACATAATGGGATGCCACTTTAGAAATTAGGTAATCATATACAAAAAATCAACTCAAGATGGATTAAAGACTTAAATGTAAAACCAGAACTATAAAGACCCTGGAAGGCAACCTAATCAATACCATCCTGGACATAGGAATGGGCAAAGATTTCATGACAAAGACAACAAAAGCAATCTCAACAAAAGCAAAAATTGACAAGTGGGATGTAATGAAACTTAAGAGCTTCTGCACAGCAAAAGAAACTATCAACAAAGTAAACAGACAGCCTACAAAATGGGAGAAAATATTTGCAAACTATGCATCTGGCAGAGGTCTTACATCCAACATCTATAAGGAACTTAAATTTACAAGAGAAAAACAACCCCATTAAAAAGTGAGCAGGGGATGTGAACAGACACTTTTCAAAAGAGACATACATGTGGCCATCAAGCATATGAATAAAGCTTACTATCACTTATCATTAGAGAAATGCAAATGAAAACCACCATGAGATGCCATCTCACACCAGTCAGAATGTCTATTATTAAGAAGTCAAAAAATAACAGATGCTGGCAAGGTTGTGAAAAAGGGAACACTTATACACTGTTGGTGAGAGTGTAAATTAATTCAACCATTGTGGAAGGCAGTATGGCGACTCCTCAAAGGGCAAAAAGGAGAACTACAATTTGACTCAGCAATCCCATTACTAGGTATATACCCAGAGGAACATAAATCATTCTACCATAAAGATACATGCACAAGAATGCTCACTACAGCACTACTCACAGTAGCAAAGACCTGGAATCAACCTAAATGCCCATAAATGACAGACTGGATAAAGAATATGTGGTACACATACACCACAGAATACTATGCAGCCATAAAAAAGAATGAGACCATGTCTTTTGTGGGAACATGGATGATACTGGAAGCTATTATCCTTAGCAAACTCATGCAGAAACAGAAAACCAAATACTGCGTGTTTTCACATATAAGAGGGAGCTAAATGATGAGAACACATGAACATAAAGAAAGGAACGGCAGACACTGGGGTCCACTTGAGGATGGAGAGTGGGAGGAGGGACAAGAGCAAAAAAGATAACTATTGGGTAGTAGGCTTAATACCTGGTTGATGAAATAACCTGCACAACAAACCCCTGTGACAGGAGTTCACCCATGCAACAAACCTTCTCATGCACCCCGAACCTAAAATAGAAGTTAAAAAAAATAGGAAGGTTTGAGCCTACAATAAACCAAAATTCAAGTTAATACTAATTCAGAAAAACTGCATTTATAAGGACCAAGTGACTTGGCTGGAAAAAAAATAATAATCTGGTGCCCCAAAGCCTGTGTCTTCCATCTTTCTTGCTGTGTCTTGCTCTCTTTCTTGCTCACTGAGATGGAAGCCACCCGCCATGTGGGGAGCTGCCCTATAGAGAGATCCATGGGGCATTAAACTGGCAGTGAACCTGAGGTCAGCCAACAGTCAAGTGAGTGAGCTTGGAGTGGCTCCTCCCAGGTAAGTCTTGAGATGACTATAGCCCTGGCTAGTACTTTGACTACAGCCTTGTGAGAACCCCTGAAAGCAACACCTGCATTCCTACCCATATAAACTGTGAGATAATTGTTATTTTAAGATGGTAAATTTTGACATAATTTGTTATGTGGATATAGATAATAGAGAAATACTAATCTCTCTCTCTCTCTCTCCTATGCATACATATAATGACTTGGAAGAATAATTAAATGGAATAAAGGGGACTAAGTAGGAAATGAAAGTTCCAGGGGGCAGACTTCAGGGGGTGGTGTTGCTATTTTGTATAGGATGATCAGGGAAGGCCACTACGATAAAGTGATATTTGAGCCAAGGCCTGAAGGAAGGAGGGGAAGTGGGCTATGTGCATTGCTGAGGAAAGATGTGCTAAGTTAAAGAAGGCCTCAAGTACTAATGCCCTGGGGAAGAGGGGTGTAAAGTTTAAGAAAAAGTAAGAAGTCCAGTGTAGGTAAGGCGGGGGTGGTTTTATAGGAGGTCAGAGAAGTCGCGAGGGGAAAGAATATAAGACTTCATAGGTCATGGTGAGGCCATTGGGTTTAATACTGAGTAAACTGTGTGTGTAATTTGACTGCTTTATAAAATATACTGTAGGAAGGCAGGGAAGGAAGCAGAGGCACTAGTTAGGAGGCCATTGTAATAATCTTAGTGATAAATCATTGGTGGGTTAGACCAGGGTGTTAGTAGTGTAGGTGGTAAGAAGTAAATATACTTTGAAAATAGAGAAGATGTGATTTATGAATGGATTAGATGCAGTGTAGAATAGAAAGACAGAAGTCATAAAGGACTCAGGATTCTGTCCTGAATATCTGTAAATGCAATTTTCATTTATCCTGATGGAAAAGACTCTTTAAAGAATAGGGTTTTTGTTGGGGGGGGCGGGGGGAGGAGGAGCAAAGTGGAGTAGGATACTGTGCAATCACTACTTCAGTTTTTTACCTACAGAGTATGAGTTGCTTCTCAGATATTCAAGTAAAGATGGCAAATAAATTTGGGGTATATGTGTTTGAAAATCAGAAAATCCAGGCTGAAGTTATAAATTTGAGAACTTGCTCAGAGATTAAATATGATTAATATAGTCACTTGATTAATTGATTGGACAATGTGGAGATCTTCGATGACTAAGATAAAAACTGATTTGTAGAGTAAGATAATGATAACAGAATTGGAATGGATCCAAAAGAGGATGAGAAGATAGGAAATGTAGAATTCAATACCCACTTCTCTTTCAAGGATACTTCTCATTTGCTGTATATGGGAATCAGGAAGAGGAGTGGTTGCTACCAGGAAAACAAAGTCAAAAATATGTTTTCTGTGTAATTTTAATTTTCAAGATAGAAGTAATACCAGTATGTTCATACATGGATGAGAATAATGCAATAGAGAGAGAATAAGAAATTGGATACACAGAAGAGAGGAGTGGAATTATTGGAGTGATCGTCTTGACTATGGGAGAAGTGATGTCTTAGACCCATTGCACACATATGGTACTTGGCATTGGATTGGAAAATGGAGTAGTGCTTATCAACAGGAGAAGGGGAAAATACAGGGGAATTATAAATGGTGGTGGTAGGTATGTGTTTATGGGGAACTTGTTAGATTTCTCTTTTGATTGTTAATATTTTCTCAGAAAAATAACAAACATGATTATCATCTGAGAGTGAGGCTGAGGGAGGAGATTTAGAAAGTGGTTGGAAGCCTGAGAAGGTATTTAGTTGTCATCTGGAGGGTGAAAAAGTGACTGGACAACCAGCATGATGACTAAAGGCCCATTTGGTATGCACCCAGTCTCATGCAGGGTTCATATTTGCAGTGAGACCAATCAGCATGATTATGTGTTTTTCTGCAATGTGTTTGCTGCCCTGGAGCAAACATGTATTAAATAGAGAGTTGGCTTTAACCAGAAGTTGGGCGTTTGCCACGTTAATTTAACAGAACAGAGAGGAACCTAAGCTGGATAAGAGCAGAAACGAGGACAGCAGGATGTGGGATAGTAAAGAAGAGAAGCATTAATGGATTTTAGATCTTTGTCAAAGACATAGTGTAGATGTGTTGGGGTGAGCAAGCTGGAGAGAGGGAAGATAGGATCTGGTGAGTGAGATGCATGAAACGTAGAGAATGAGGAGTAGGCTTAAGGCCAGAAACACAGCCAGGGCTTGGTGGTAGAGCCAGGAAGCCCCGTCTCCATGAAGTGTTCTGTGAGGAAGGATATGTACACACCAGTGTTCCCATGAGATGAACCTGATAGTAAAATGAATGACAATGTGAGTGGGGCAGAGGAATATGTATAAAGGACACTATGGCAGAAAGGCGTTTTTTTCTTTTTCTTTTGACAAAATGTTCATTAATGTACATTGAATTATACCTATCTCATCATCTGACGAAGATTCTTCCTTAATGGTTACTCTTGGAAAAATGCAAAGATAGATTTCTTTGTCTAGAGCACCTGCAGTTTGTCTCTCTTGTCAGTTGTTCAAGTATCTTTTGCCAGCTGGTGATGAGACAAAGAAAATAGCATCGCCTGGGTGTGCAATGACATCTCACATCTGCAGGCTGCATGTTCAACCCAATCAGTAGATTTACTCATTCTTGAGATGGTGCATTCTCTTATCAACTCTGACAGCAGCAGATTTACGCCATTATGCCAACAGATATTTTTGCAAAGCTGTGTAAATCAAGTCATATATTTTAATGCCCATGGGAAAGTATGATTAAAAGGAAACTTGAAATCTACCTTTCGGTTAAGTAAAAATATTACATTTGGCAAATGGTCATGCTGTGCTACAATTTATAACTTTAATTTTAACATCAGCATCTGAACATAATGTTAGAAAATCAGAGAGTGAGTAGAAAATTTAGATTACTTCTCTCCTGATTTCTCACCCTACAAAGATAAAAACGTCCCTTTCTATCTAATCTCAGAGTCTGGGAATTTTAGATATTCTTTATTTAAGGTCTTTTGGAGAAAAAGAACTTTTAATATTTTTATATCTGGCTTTCTGAAACAGAGGAGTAAACACATGGGGAAATACAGTCTTTTTCACAATCTAAGCTTACTCTATCCAAATTCAGGAGTATGCAGATTCAAATCATAAGGGATAGCTAGATTTTGGCTAAAGTAATACAACTTTTTAGTCTCTGAATATCAGTCAGTGTTAGGTCATTGAAGGTTCATAAATAATGGTTCTAACTTACTAAGGAATTTTGAAAAAGACTTTCCGTTTATCCTTTTAAAAATTATATTTAGGCCTCTATATGAAACAGTGGGCATAAGATAAAAAAGATCTTTAAAAATATGAAACATGATCTAGCTCTCCAAGGCAACAGAACATCTGGTGGGCTTCAGTGTGAAGGTTCCGATGTCCTGGAATGAAACTTGAGTGTGTACTGTTCTATGCCTCAGAACAGTAGTGAAGAATTACAAATAAAAAACTCTGTCAAGAAAGAGCTACAGGTTTCTTTAGCTCATAAATCCTCAAGAGTCAAGGGATGTAGTAGAAAATGAGAAAGAGCTGGAAGAAAAAAAGAGAAACTAGACTACTGTAGACATTCATGACCTAGTGATCAGGAAAGCCTCAGAGCTCTGGTTTTTTGTGTCAGGAAGAAAAGACAGCAAAACTACTAGTACTTGCTAAATACTGTAGTACCTTTAAGCTGCAGCAATCTATTGGCGCATGTTTCAGTTATATTGTATTTTTTACTGTTTCCTTCAGGAGGGAAATTCAGGAATTTCTTTCTCCTCAGACCAGATTCAGGAATTTATTATTCTTACCAAATTGAAAATGAATATGAGAAAAAAACTTGAATAACATAATAAAACTGAGTAAGTAGTTGAGATCTGAATGTGTAAAAGGAATCCATTTCTAGGGTAATGAGTGATTAAAAGCAGATATTTTGAAGGATGTTTCAAAAGAAACAAATCTTAGGGCAAATATTAATAAATAATCAAAGTTAAAAGAAGCTTTGATTCATTTTAGATGGAGATTGAAAAAATCTACAGTTACTGTTTTGAACCCTGGCTAATGGAAGACATCAATCCCAGTGCAGTCAGCTGGGTCAAAAGTAGCAAAGAAGAGATCAGTAGAACTTGAGCAATGCAATACAATTACCATTATTGCTATTATGACTATGACTGCTATCATTGCTAATGCCTACAGATACTTAAGTACTTATTATGAGCCAAGCATATCTAAATATTTTACATGCATTAATTATTTAAATGAAACAAGAATAGACTGTAACTTCATGAGGAGAGAGATTAAACCTTATTTAGCTTTGTAATAATGCTGTTAAGCATAGTACCTGTACATAGTAAGCACTGAATAAATGTTTTTAAACCAAACTAAGGAATAATTTAGGGTAAATTAAGGTTTGATTTATACTGCCTAAGGGCTTTCACAAGTCCTTTATTAAGGAGGAACAGGGTGGTATTAGAATATTAATACATACTATTAATTATGTCGTGTAATGTATATGTAATGCCTTTTATGGATAAATTACATCTATAGAAAAGTGCAATAGGATTAAAGCTAGAATTTTCCCTTTTGATAAAAGAACAAAAAATGAACATGTTATTTGTAAACTGATGTTTAGTAACCGGTGATAAACTTTAACTACTAGATTACATTACAAGCCTTTATCTTGAGTAGTCTTATGAAAATTAATCTCTTAACTATCTTTCCAACCTATATTCACATTGGTTTTCAAGATACTTTAAGTTATAATTTTTCTTCTTTTTTCAGACCTGTGTCTTATTTTGGGGCTACTTTTTTATTGAGGTGTAATTCACAAGGGGCTGCATTTTTTTGATAAGGCTTATAACTATGGCTGGATGTTTTGCTCTCGTCTTGTAAGAAGTGCCATTTTATTTTTGAGCCACTCCTAAAGTCATGTGGTCATTAACTTTGGAGGCTATTTTGCCTATGAGTGTTGATACAAATTAAAACCCAAGTAGACTTCATTGCATGTCACCCTATGAATGTTCACAATGGAAAAAATACCTTGTCTGTAGTATACTCTCATTCTTGCATTGAAAAGCTGAGGAAGAAACTTATTATTTACTTATTTATTTATTTATTTATTGATGTAAGTCAGAAAAACTTATAGCTAATGTGCCCAGTTTTCTGGTTGCCCTCAGCAGGTGAAGTGAACAAATAGTGTCAATTGAGATTGAAGAGATTATCTGAATCCTGGTTTTTGTAGATTTACAGTCTACATACAATATTAACTAAATCAAATAGCTTTTACGATTTCGCATGTTTACATAGCCTCCCTCCCAGCCCCTTCCATATCCATTAGTTATTGAACTTTCTAAACTGGCATTGAAAAATATTACAACAATGTTTTTGTTTTGTTTTGTTTTGTTTTGTTTTGTTTTGTTTTGAGATGGAGTCTCGCTCTGTTGCCCAGGCTGGAACGCAGTGGCAAGATCTCCACTCACTGCAATCTCCACCTCCCGGGTTCACGCCCTTCTACAACAATGTTTTGTTGCCCCAATTTTATAAACTTATGCAGTGCAATAAATGTTATTTGTCTGAGGCAAACCAAAGGTAAATTTCTCAAAGTTCTTGCTGCTTTCTTTAGCAGAATTTGATGTAGGATCTTTTATGGATTTGTAATAGATTAAAAACAAACAAACAAAAAAACACATTGCAATCCTTTTTTTCAAATCAAGTTTTTGGTCCAAATTGTGTAGGATAAGTTAAACTTGCATTCTATTAGCCAATATGAGTATATTTCTGTAAGCATAGTTACAATGAAATAAAGTTTTAAAAAGCAAAACAAACAAAAAAACATGCATACTGCATTTTCTCCATATGTGGAATTTGGAATAAAACTTGTATTTATTAATTTCCAAATTTAAGAATTGATTAAGATATTCTTTTGGGTGAATCTCATTGACAATGTTAATTATAAAATGGTAACAGAATGAGCAGCTTAACTTTTCACAGAAGTACATTTATTTCTGTATTACTAGAACTGGTCACATTTTCCAGCAGCAGGAAATTCAGCACTATCTTTTTGAGGGTCTTCTCCTTTTCTTCAGGGACTCAGAATCTTATTCAGACTATGAAGAACCAGGGTCTAACTACGTTCACATTACTGGCTCTTTCCTTGAGCAGAGGAGAGCTGTTGAAGCCTAGCGCCCCCTAGGCTGACAGATGATGCATGCCCATTGTTGTGCGGCTTTGCCGCTGGTCAAGCTTCCCTCCCAGGGACCAGTTGTTTCAGGGTAGATGAGCCCATCCTCTCACTTTAAGTGTGGCCAGATGTGTTGCATGCTTGATTTCCTAAAATTATAGTAATTCACACTCACTTATTTTAGTGTTGAATGCCACTTCTGGTCCCAAGAAAGCCATGTGAGCCTTGCCTCTATTATCTGCTACCTCTAAAATCCAGATACACTGTCTTCTGCTCCTCCTTAGGAATACACACAAGAAGTCATGTAGGTCTTTATTTTATACCCTGAAAATGCAAAGCCCTTGTAGTGGAACTATTCACTCGTTGGCTTGAAATACTTCAAGGATAAGTATTGTTGGGTTGGCGTGGGGTGGGTGTGTTATATATCTTTGTTTCTACTGGAAGCTGTCCTTGAAAAAATTAATGACTGATGGCCTACCTCTTTTTTTTTTTTTTTTTGACAACATCTTGCTCTGTCATCCAGGCTGAAATGCAGTGGTGTCATCATTTCAGCCCCCCGAGTGGCTGAGACTACAGTCATGTGCCATCATGCCCAGCTAATTTTTTAAAATATATTTTTTGTAGAGATAGGGTCTCACTGTGTTGCCCAGGCTGTTCTCAAACTACTGGAATCAAGTGAGCCTTCCTCCTCGGCCTCTCAAAGTGCTGGGATTATAGGTGTGAGCCACTACACCTGGCCTAATTTTCTACTTTTGACTAAATTGTGGTGTGGTTGTAAACTTCCAAGTACTAAAGAAAATGAAAGAAAAAGGAAACACTTTTTAAAGGAAAAAAAATTTTAAAGAAAAAAGGGGTACCTGCTATGGAATGGTTCCAGTCACAATGTTCCATAGAAGTTACGCCACAGGGGTGAATATATTCTCAGAAGATGTAGCTGAAAATTAGACCAGGGTTGGGATGTTGATCAAGATGACAAGGGAGGGTAAATATAGGTGGCTGCTCTTTCTTTATTTATGAAAAAAATGATTCTTATAACCTATGTGTAAAAATTCTGTGTTCTGTTAACCCATTAAGATATATGTTTTAGCTGTAAAATTCCAGGCAGTACAAGACTTATACACATCACATACAGAAATAAAAGATGATGGGCCAGGTGCGGTGGCTCATGCCTGTAATCCCAGCACTTTGGGAAGCTGAGGCAGGTGGATCACATGAGGTCAGGAGTTCGAGACCAGCCTGGCCAACATGGTGAAACCCCGTCTCTACTAAAAATACAAAATTAGCTGGGCATGGTGGTGCGTGCCTGTAGTCCCAGCTACCCGGGAGGCTGAGACAGAAGAATCATTGGAACCCAGGAGGCAGAGGTTGCAGTGAGCCAAGATTGTGCCACTGCGCTCCAACCTGGGTGACAGAGTGAGACTCCATCTCAAAGGAAAAGATGATGGTTAAAAAAAGAAAATCAGAATTCCCTGGAAGCCATCAGGGAAGTGCCAAAATGTATTTCCACCTTGACTGCCTTTGTGTTATACTTTGTCAACATCAGGTCACCTTGAAGTGGCTGTGAGCATATTGAGATCCAGCTACTGGAAGCTGAATTTGGAATACACTCAGGTTTGGTTTAGTTGAGGTATTTTAATGTGGTTAATACTGAATATCTACATTTAATTAAGTTATACTTAATGGACTTCTATTACCGGCCATGACAGAGTTACAAGGTGTATTCATCCATTCTCACATGTTTATAAAGATACTTCCCCAGACTGGATAGTATCTTAATTTATAAAGGAAAGAGGTTAGTTGACTCACAGTTCTGCATGGCTGAGGAGGCCTCTGGGAACTAACAATCATGGCGGAAGTGGAAGCAGGCAGGTCCCCCTGGTGGCAGGAGAGAGAAGCGAGTGAAGGAGGAACTTGCCAAACAATTATAAAACCACCAGATCTCATGAGAACTCACTATCATGAAAACAGCAGGGGGTAAACCTCTCCCATGATCCAATCACCTCCCACCAGGTTCCTCCCTCAACACATGGGGTTTACAATTCAAGATGAGATTTGGGTGGGGACGCAAGGCTAAACCATATCACAAAGACCAGACTTATCCTTCTGGCATAACCAAATAATAAGCCAGACAAAATATATCAAACAACAATTTTCAGAGACTGTACAACAGGCAGGATAATGATTCTTGATAGAAGGAAAAGAAACAAGGTAAGCACTACAATTACCAAGGTTAATACTGGGGAGAGTTTCCAGACTGCTGTACAAGGAGGGATAATGCAAATAAAGGTCAGCATTATGCCTGAGTGGAAAACAGCTCAGAGAGAACATAGGAAGAGAATTGGTAAGAGCTGCATAGGTAGGAGAGGACTTTGAGATCTGCAAAGTCTTCAGCTGAGTATCAATCAGCAAGTGTTAGATAAAGAGTAGTGACCACCCAAGGGTTGAGAAACAGCAACCTGAAAAATAAGTGGAACAATCCCTGGAGCTCACACAAGGACAGGAGTAGTTTGCGTTCCCATCACAAAGTGAAAACAAACAAAAAAAACTTTTAACATACAGGGCATTGAGTAGTGTAATTAAAAGGTCTCAGTAATGCAGCAAAATTAGCCTTGGGATAAAGGCTGTTGTGGTTTAGCCTAACAAGTTTTGAAAGAAATTCTTGAAAAATCAAAGGGTTTCCACATAACTTAATTGTATTCCATAACAAAACTACTCAAGAATATTTAAAGAAATACAGAAATTGTTCAGGATCCAATAAGGTAAAATTAATAATATCTGGCATCCAATTAAAAAATACTAGGCATGCAAAAAGATAGAAAAATATGTAAATAATACGGAAATCAAGAAATAACACAGATAAAATAATTAGTTGACAGGCATATTAAAACAATTATAAATATATTCCAGCTATTCAAGAAGTTAGAAGAAAACATGAATGTGTTAAAGAGAGTCCTGGATGATTTTTAAAACAGTCAACAGATTAGTGAGTGTCAAGGCTTAACAACTGATATGATTCAAATTAAAACAGAAAATCAGAAAAAAATAAAAAAGGACAATACCTCATTGAGCTGCAGGACAACCTCAAGCAGCCTAATGTATACCACTGAAGTCTGTGAAGAATAAGCCCAGAAGAAAATAGATGAAGAAATAATAGCTAAATAATTTATAAATTTGATTCACAGTATAATTTCACAGTAGGGCAAAGAAGCCTGAGCACAAGAAAAATGAAGGACATCATTAACAAATTACTCTAAACCAGTGACTAAGAGAAAATCCTAAAAGCAGTTAGAAGCAAGAAGGCATTGCATAGTGTATAGATATATACAAATAAGAATAATAATAAACACTCATACCAGAAGTGTAGAGGTGGCAGCAGGGAAAAAAGTTTTTGAAACATGTTCCAGATGCTGGCCTATGGAAAATTCTCCCAATCCTCAAATGGGTAAAATATAAGTGGAGTATGAACAATACAAACTAGAACTCATGCTGAAAGAGGGAGGGAAATAAAACCCTCTCAACCCAGAACTTTTTATCCAGTAAACATATCTTTTAAAAATAAAGGTAAAATAAAGACATTTTCAGAGATCCAAAGGTAATAGCAGCAGCAAATTTGCACTATGAGAAATGTTAAGAGAAATTCTTTAGGAAGAAAGAAAATATATCAGATGGAAATTTGCATCTACATACGAAAAATGAAGACCAGTAGAAATGGTAAATCTATTTGTTAATAGGTTTTCTGTTGTAGGAAGACCTTCCACCCTGATGCTACATCTGTTTTCATCACAAGAAAGTGAAGGGTCAGGCGCTGTATCAGGACATGAATATGTTGCATGACACTCGGTACCAGAAGTTTATAGGCAGTGGGAGACAAACTAGGATTAAACATTTGTGTGCTGGAAGCTGCCTAAGGAAATTTTTGCCAGTCATCAGATGTGTAAAATATAAGTGAAGAGTTTAATTTTCATTGACAACTACTAATACTAAAAATTTTCTACTTTGAGTCATGTACTTGACATAGAAGTATTAAAATTATAAATTTAACATGCTTTTTAATGGGCAGTTTTTAAAACACAATTCAGAATTATGTTTGTAGGGTACAAACTGGTAGCAATTTTCTAAATATCTGGTGTACCTTCATGTGAATCTGCTAATTTTATTTTTTCAATCACATTGAATTGCATCTTAGCATATTTGACACATTGACACTTTTTTTTTCTGATGAAATCTGGTACTTCTAGTCAATGGGAGCATGCAAATCACCATCAATAAACTTAAATTATCTGAAGAAGCAAGAGTTCTAGTAAGAAAACTACACATACTCATCAATAAATCAATGTATGTAGTGTAAGAGTAATTTGATTACGTATTGTATAATTCAATACAACATAGAAGGAACTTAAAATGCTTTTGAATTACTCTCATGTAAGCCTTAATTTCATATTAACTTTCTAAATTATCAATAATTGAAAACAAACTAGAGAAAACCCTGAATTATCTTTCTACTTTCCCTGTAGAAAATGTTACAATGTCATTGCTACATGAAGAGAAGATCAAGAGAATTCAGCCAGAAGACTGTAGAAACAAAGGTATATTATGAAAAGTAATCAGGCAATTAATACAAATACTATGTTATTTCCTAATATGTATGATGATATATCTGTTGGCTTTTAAAAATCAGTAATTTATTTTCTTTTCTAAATGTACATTTATGTTTATACTTCATTTTTTGTGATTTTATTTATTTTTTCTAAAACTCCACTGCAACTGGAAAATCAGCCCCACAAAACCTGAATCTTTGTATTATGGTGCAGGGCTGGAAGACATTAAGCTTTGGTACTGTGTATCCCTAGATGTTTTTAAATGCAGACTTTATTTCATATTTTGCTCTCAATGGGGGTTTTATTTTTTCTGTTCTTTAGGTAATTAAATTGGGGACACTATCACGTAACCTATATCCAAAAGAAAGGTAGAGAAGGAAATAATTATCTGGTACAGAAAGAAAAAATGAATCAGTTAGAGATGCTGAGTCTTATTTGACTGAATAGTAATTATTGAATGATCTGATTTAATGCCTACATACTCAGGAACAAAAGCAGAAATCTGTGACCCAATGTCTATTTTTATTTCCCCGCCAGTCATGAATCATGCTGTCCTTGGATAACCCGGTGTCACCCAGAATCTCTGTATCCCTTGGAAATGTAGACTTTCTCCAACCGCCTCTCCCTCCTTGGTGGCTTCTCTGCCTGGACAGACTTGTCTTTGTATTAGTAGTGTCACTTTACCTCCTACTACTCAGGAACAGACCAGCCAGTCCCATGACAAATTTCCACAAAATGCCATGTATCTTGTAAATTTAATGAATCACTTTGGGAAAAGGTGGGACACAGAGAGCTTAATGTAAAAAAACCCATTTTTTTGGTCAGAGTGCTGAAAAAAATAGAACTTCTTTAACAGGTTCTGAGTAGAAACATAGCTCAATGAAGAAATAAAAGCACCTACTGTTTGAAAGTCCTGCTGTTAAAGTCTTACTTTTCTTCATTACACCGGGCATAGTGGGAAGAAATCTGCTTCTGTTTCACTCAGGGATATTGTTCTGGAATCACAGCTTTTCAGACAGGCTTCCTGTGGATTACCATGAGGCTAGCCCTAAATGTTTATAAGGGACTCCCTTGCCTATTTCTCCCCTTGTATCCATCTTCATTGTGATTTCCTCCTAGGTCATAATTTGGCTCAAGGTCCTGATTAGTTTCAAGTGGGTAAAATGACCTATTATCAGATATGAATCGAGGGGAAACAGAAGAAGGGCCTGTTTGGTTGGCTCTGCAGTTCAGAGCAATGGAAGACTTTCTTTCTGTGGTATCCAGGAGTTTGGCAGTGACTTGGGGAAGTAATTGGGTGGGAGAAAGTAAAATTTTTGCTGGGCTGAGGTAATAACTTCCAAAAAGAAAAAACTGTACAATTTGATGGTGATACTTTTCTACCTTCCACAAACACAATAAGCACTCTAAAATGTTGACTTTTATCTTTTTCTGTGTAAAAATATTGTGTGTGAAAATGTTTGTGGTTATGATGTAACATAGAAAGAAGGTACAACAGGACTTGTCCAGGGCTTGCCTTTCTCATCGAGTTTGGGACAAGTCTAAACTCCTGAAATGTACTATGTCTGAACCAAACTAACATATTAGTGGGTAAGTGCCATTTCTCATCCTAATACTTTCTGATAAGCCACTTCTAAGGACCCAAAGAGAGCATATTTCAGGAGTTGAGAGCATATTTCAGGAGTTGAAGCTATTGCACAGGGCATGTTCTGTGATATATAAGTTGTGCATGCATTCCTCGTTTAAATAAAAAAGTACAGGCTGGGTGCAGTGGCTCACACCTGTAATCCTAGCACTTTGGGAGGCTGAGGTGGGTGGACCACGAGGTCAGGAGATCGAGACCATCCTGACTAACTTGGTGAAACCCCATCTCTACTAAAAATACAAAAAAAAAAAAAAATTACCCGGGCATCGTGGCAGGCGTCTGTAGTCCTAGCTACTCGGGAGGCTGAGGCAGGAGAATGGCATGAACCCAGGAGGCGGAGGTTGCAGTGAGCTGAGATCATGCCATTGCACTCCAGCCTGGGCAACTGAGCAAGACTCTGTCTCAAAAATAAATAAATAAATAAAAATAAAATAAAAATGAAAAGTACATTTACAGAGTAGACTAGTAATAATGATGTTCTTTTTTGTTTCTGTTTTGATTTTATCAGATATAACAGTTTTGGATTATTGCTTGCTCTTGAAATGTGTTGTTTCAAAGGAACACATTATTTTGGACATGCAATCAGATGAAACATTAAAGGTGAGAGGTGAACCCGGCTGGGCTTCTGGGTCGCTGGGGAACTTGGAGAACTTTTTTGTCTGGCTAAAGGATTGTAAACATACCAATCAGCCCTCTGTGTCTAGCTAAACATTTATAAATGCACCAATTAGCACTCTGTAAAAATGCACCAATCAGCGTGCTGTGTCTAGCTAAAGGTTTGTAAACACACCAATCAGCACTCTGTAAAAACGGACCAATCAGCACTCTGTAAAATAGACCAATCAGTGCTCTGTAAAACAGACCAATCAGCAGGATGTGGATGGGGCCAAATAAGGGAATAAAAGCTGGCCACCTGAATCAGCAGCGCATCTCCCTTGGGTAGTCTTTCAGGGTGTGGCGGTTTTGTTCTTTCGTTTTTCATAATAAATCTTGCTGCTGCTCACTCTTTGGATCTGCACTACCTTTATGAGCTGTAACACTCACTGCTAGGGTCTGTAGCTTCATTACTGAAGTCAGTGAGACCACAAACCCACCCGGGAGGAACAGACAACTCCAGAGGCGCCACCTTTAAGAGCTGTAACACTCACTGTGAAGGTCTGCGGCCTCACTCCTGAAGTCAGCCAGACCACGAACCCACCAGGAGGAACAGACAACTCCAGATGTGCCACCTTTAAGAGCTGTAACACTCACTGCGAAGGTCTGCGGCTTTACTCCTGAAGTCAAGCGAGACCACAAACCCACCGGAAGGAAGAAATGCGGGACACATCTGAACATCTGAAGGAACAAACTCTGGGACACATCGTCTTGAACTGTAACACTCACCACGAGGGTCCATGGCTTCATTCTTGAAGTCAGCGAGGCCAAGAACCCACCGGAAGGATCCAATTCCGGACACAAAGGGATGATGATTGTATTTTGTATTTTGTTTATCTGGAGCCAGCAGTTTATGTAGGTGGAATCATACAGCTGAATAGATTAATTTGCTTATCATTTATGTAAGTAGGATCATTTTTTCAAACAACTTCTGATGTTCATTATTAACTGAGTGTCATTTAGGGAATAAAGCAGCCCTTGGTCAGGTGAAAAAAGAACCAGGAGAAAAGACAATTCTCATGTGGTTTATGTGAATTTCTAGTTCTTATATTAGTAAATCAATTTATTTAGTGTGGTTTTAAATTAACATTGTATCACATTTACTACATACTCTCCTCTTGACCCCTCCCATCTCAACCTACATGGATTGAATAGTACAGGGGTGTCTGACTTGGGTTACTCAACCTATGGACGTGGATACCTATATCATAGATGTGATTTTTAAGGAAGAGAAGCAGTCTTGTTTACCAAAAATTTTCTTCATCATCTGCTTACCTTGGTGCCAGAAATTACTGAAATGATGTAGGAGGTTTGAACATATATTTATTTCAAAGGAAAATATCCACTATTAGCAGTTTATTAGAATAGCCAGAAGAAACTAGAATGACTGTATACATTCAAAACTCAGTATCTTACCTCTGTGTATTAAGGAGGAGATTGGGACAGATTCTCTGCTTTTAAAAAGGTCATGATTTAGTCTCTAGATCCAACCTTACACACACGTGGGCTCTTTCTCCTGATTAAATTCCTTTCTATCAGTACTGTCTGTCTTTGGCTTTCATTACCCTAATCCATCTGACTTTGGCTCCTGCCTTGGCTCAGTTTTGCCAAATAAATCTAATTTCCTCTGTCCTGAAAGTCAATTCTCCAAGAGCATTTTAACTTGTTCTCTGGCCTTGGTTTTGATGACTTGTCTTTCTTTTCTGCAATCTCACGGAGAAAAAAAAAATAAAAACTATAGCAAGGACCATTTTATTTCACACTTTCTGGAGTTTTACAGGATTGCTAAGGCCATGAGAAGTGGAAGGAGAAATAGTGATTCAGAAGTAGGGAAAATGCATGGTTTGAGGAGCAATATTGGCACATAGAGAAAGAGTATTAATCCTATCTATCTCCCAACCAGGTTGGGAATAACTTCACAGTGTGGCTGATGACCTATACAGGCATATGTAATGTCTTGGGAGCAACAGGTTGGGAGGTAGATAGGAATCCAGGACACATTTTGTTAATTTTGATTGTTACCAGGTACAAACCCACTGCTAAGTGGATATGAACCTGCACAATAACAACTCTTCCATGTGTTAAGCTGATAGCAAATGGACATGCTGCTCATGTCTAGGAGATTACCAGAGGGTTCACCAAAGATTTCTAACCAGTAGATTAAACCTGCAGGTAAATCATGCAGCTTCACCTGGACTACTTGTAAGTCAGTCACCAGCATAGGTGACCAATTCAACTTTACTGAGATGCTCTAACCTTTCTCAGGTCACTCCTCCCTCACTGGTGGCTCTGGGCTTTGGGAGGCTTTGCCATGTATCCAGAGTCTTTATAATTTTGAAGCAAGTATGAGAGTCTTCTTGTTCTCTCCTTGTCTCAGCTCAAGTCTTTTCACTTTTGTGAGGGCCTTGACCTTGTTTTAGGTACAATTAGGAGCTTTCTCCTGTTTGTTCCCAAGACATTATATATGCCTGTATAGGTCTCCAGCCACACTGTGCAGTTCGTCTTTGTTTACATAAGGGGCCCCACTCCCACCACACTACAGAATGCTTTATTCATCTCTGTACCCCCAAATCCTGCCTGGCCCAATAGCCTGGTGAAATGCAAGTGCTCAATAATATGTACTGATTAAATTATTTACAACAGTGATCTGGGTTTGTATATTTTCCCAAAGCTTTTACGGTAAACATGTAACTTACTTAGTTGTACTGCTTTTCTTTAAAAATGTTTTATATTAAAATGTGGAGGTGACTAAAATTGGCTTCAAAACACATTTTAATTCCTGTCTCATGTTTGGAACTTGATACTACAGTGCTGCTTCTTTGTTGGTGTTCGTTTTCATAGTAGAGAAAGCTTACCTCAGAAACTAAAGAGAAACTCATGGAGTAACACCTTATCTTTTGGAATTATTCATCAGAATATTCTGAAAAAAATTTTACATCTACACTATAACTTTTTCAACTACAATCATAATCATTGTTAGTTGTATGAACAAATGATGGGAAGAGAAAGCAACTTTTTTTATTGATTTCTGCAGTTAACTTTATGATTTTCATGTGACAAGGTATGTTATTTTGACTTAGTTTAGAATGGGAACTGCATCTATTCTTTAGCTTCCTGAATACAGTCACCTTTTGGTTATAATTCTGATTGCTCTGGGCTTTATCACACTTAAAAATGGAGTTTGCAATTAATGCCTTAAATATAGTTATACTAATAGAGATTAACTAAACAAAATAAGGATCCTGAGCAGCTGCCTGAACTTGCATGCTTTACAATGGCAAATTCTTCTAAGTTATTGTATTGATTTAATTTGCATTCAAATTGCTCAGGATTTTGCTGGTGTATTTTCACTTGAATGATTTGCTATCAAGTGAGGAATGAATAAGTGACACGTACAGACTCAAATGTAGAGTTTAATTTTAAAATTTCTACAGGTTTTAATTGAGCCGTATTAATAACAAAATAAAAAAATACAGGAGCAAGTGGGAGTTTAGCATTACTTCTTAAATAAATCCTAGAAAATGTCATGGCTTGGGATTTGTTTTATGAAGTTAATTTTATTTAGCATAAGGACTCGTGTTATACTTGAGCAGATTTGATTCTTCATTTCAATTATAAATTTTTTAATTGGAAAATAATTGTTATGAAGTTATCATTTAAATCAGAACTAGTTGGTTTTGATCATATTTATTGATTAAATTATTTGTAAGAGTGGTCTGGCCTTGTATAATATTTTCGCAAAGCCTTTATGGTAGACATTTAGCTCATTTAGTAATACTACTATTCTTTAAAGGTGTTTTATATTTGCCACCGAATGCAAAAATTGTCATTAAATGGTCATTTTATAACCTGTAGTATATATATAATTTGTGATATATTTATTATTCTAACCATCTGAATACTTAATATATAAGTAGAAAAAACCTTTCATTATCTTTTTGGGCAGTCTTGTCAAAATTAAACCTACCCTGGGGTCTACAGAAAACTTTAAGGCAGTAATATTTCCTGTGTCCTCTGGCACAACATTATGCCAAATCCCATCCATGTAGCAATTGCTTCTGGCTTTTCTGGGATAAGAGATTACAAGTTCTCTCCAGCAAATACATTTGCTTATGGATTCATTAGATTGTATTCACTCTAAGGTAAACTCTGTCTGGAGTTGGGTTTGTGTTCACAAGTGAAGTGGACAATGGGCTTATCCTCTCAGGAAACTACTATGTCATTTAGCTACTGTTCAGGCAATATACTGGAGAAAAATGTCTCTATTTTATGATGTGGCAGATGGCAATAGGCACAGTGGTAACTATTTAACAGGTGTTCAAATATTTTATAAATGAATAAAGGGAGAAAACATGAATAAATGAAGAAGTAGAGAGGCACAGTGGAAATGTACTGGGTCCCTGACCGTGTGTGGAAAAATGCAAATTAACCTTTTCTCTCTTCTCCAAACATGTTAAGATTAAAGGGGGAGAAATGAGGATTTTAAATGGTTAACAGTTAAAAAGAAGCAATACAATCACAAAAGTAAGTGTTGTTTAGTTGGACCCATACTGTGCCTGAAATTACACACTTAATTCTCAGAGACCTCTGTGGTAGCCACTGGTATTGCAATTTTGCTGTATTTTTTACCACTTAAGTGATTTTCTTTCCTGGTTCCTGTTGTATTCTTGTTAGGACTGGAGTCACATCCACACCTGTCAGACAGGCACACTCCTAGAGCACTGTTTTTCTTCTTCAGTGCAGCACCTGGAGCAATATAATTTGACTTGTTAATCATAATTAATATACTCCTAGGAGAATGCTGCTTTTGAATTGATCCATTCTCTGGTCCTTCTGACCACTTCAGAATTGGAGGGAAATATTAAAATCTTCTCTGAAAGGGGAGAACAGAATAAGCAGTTACTTGGATGAACCCTGAGACAAAATGGAAGTTTCAAGAAATGACTGTGTTCAAAGAATGTATGAGGGCAGTGTGGTCTCAAGGTTCACAAAATTATAAGCACAGCATAAGTAAGCATGACATTTTGAATCACAGATATAAGTTGAACTCAGTCTTTCTAGGATTAAAAAAACTTGAGAGACACAAAGGTTTATTATATATTTTATGAATTCCTTAAAAATCTCAGAACTGTCACATAAGTTATCATTCTGAAGTAGTTCCGAAATCATTGGACAACAGTGAGAATTTGAAAAGAAAATACGTTTTCAGTATTTTGTGTATAAATGTGCAGAATTTATCAGTGGTCACATTGAATCATTTTATGTACAGATAGAATAAGTATTTCTTAATACATGGAAAATTCATTGATTCTGGCAACAAGTGCAAAGCTTTGGTCAATATATATGTAAGTTACACAAATTTAAATACTAGAACAGAATACCATGCAATGGACAAAAATTAATTGTCTTCAGAAAAGAAGTCCTACTCAACCTTTTGCAAATAATTAACATTCCCTTTCAACTAAAACACACACTTTTGTATTTATTATATGGCATTTTAGGTATTACATCTAATTTTCATTACAAGTCTATACTATTGGAAAAACTTTCTTTGAAAATGAAGAAAGTGAAGGTCAGTAACTAGGTAATGTGCCTGAGATTGCAGAACTGGTAAGTGTCAGAGCATCGTTTCCAATTTACATCTTCCTCACTCTAAAGCCCATACTCTTCCAACTGAATGACATTAAACTAATTTTTATTTTTTTAAAAGTTTTTACTTATTAAAAAAATTTTTTTGAGATGGGGCCTCACTCTATTGCCCAGGCTGAAGTGTAATGGCACAATCATGGCTCACTGCAGCCTCGATCTCCCAGGCCCAAGTGATCCTCTTACCTCAGTCTTCTGAGTAGCTGGGAGCACAGGTGTGTGCCACCATGCCTGGATAATTTTTTTGTTACTTGTAAATACAAATTCTGGCTATGCTGCCCAGACTGGTCTTGAGCTCCTGGACTCAAGCAATCCTCCTGCCTTGGCATCCCAAAGTGCTGGGATTACAGGCATGAGCCAGTGTGCCCAGCCAAGCTAAGTTTTAGATGTAATTCTATAAAACATAATAAATTTAGTAATGATTTTGAAGATAAAGTCTCTAAAGTGATGTTACATTTGTGCTTGTGTGTTTATTGGTGTGCCCTCTGCTATCAAATCTATATTTAAAAGAGAAGTAGATTTGTAAGGCAAAAGAAACATTTTAGGTCTTTATAATTTATATATCATGGCAGAGAAATAGAGAACTTGATTTAATTGATACAAATATCTTCCCTTTCTATTAACTATTTATAAAACAGGAATGATTATTACAAATACTGAATAAAATTTGTTGAATTAAAAGAAGCCTTGGGAAGAAATGAGAAGTAGGTGAGAGACCAAATGGAAGAGAATCTAGAAAGCTGCGAATCATAAGAGGATATGGGAGCATGTGGTGGAGGGCAAGGTGGGAGATAGTGGCGTTGAGAGTATTGGATGCGTTAAGTACTAATGTGGGTTAGAAATTTTCTGGGAAACAGGAAGCTTTGTTTAGAAGGTGTGGCTACCAATTATTGGACTATATTCCTATAATTTTATTTTAAAAATATTTCTCTAAAATCACATAAAAATGACATGTATGGCTTTTTAGGAACAAGAAATATTCCAGAGAGGTTATTTGCTTTTTGCTTGCATCTCAAGAATAAAACTACTCAAGTGATTGGAGAAGTGGAGCTGGTGGGAGTGGAAAGAGAAGCTAGTGCTTCAGGAGGAACTCCAAAGGTTAGCTGGGAAGCTTCCTCAGCCAGGAAAAGTGAGTTCTTACTGTAAATTGTCTCTCATATCTCCCCAGTAAAGAACACCATGCATTCCTTCCCACCTAAACTAATTGTTCTACAAGCTAAATTGATTTTCTTAAAAGAACCTCTGATTCATGGAAGTCCTCTGCTCAAGAAACTCCAATGATTTCTATTATATATTGAACAAAGGTAAAGAGGGAGATTAGATTTATTGAACTTCTAGATACAACATAATCCCACTTAACCTTCAGCAAAACTCTATGAAGTAGATAAGATTGTCTCTCTGGAGGAGAAACCTGAGCTTTCATAAAAGCAAGCAATTTAGAGGGTTATATCTCCCTGCCAGAGGGAACCTCTGTGAAGACAGATCATGTCTGTCTTGTTCACATTGTATGTTCAGCAACTATTATGTCTGGCAGATTTTCTGGACATATTTGTTGAATGAATGAATTACACAAAACTGAACTTATACCCTTTCTATTAGTCCATACTATGTTTCTTGAGTTTCATATTCCCACTTAGCAATAGTTTACTTATCTCTGTATACAAAATTATATAAGCAAGATTGGAATAATGTTTGACTGTTTGTTTCCTGAAGAGCCTCTGAGATCTGGCCCCATCTATTGTTTTTACTCAAACCATAGAGATGCACTTTGTTCACAAATGTTTTTACATAGATCAACAAGTTCTACGCTGTGTTTTCTGCAACATCTAGCATGTCCTATTTTGATATATTTAAATTAACGTGGAGACTTAAAGCCACATATGAAGCGATCCAAATTCGGAATCACTCTGGATTTTTACAATTTCCACCCTTTTTAAATATTAATAGTTGTTCTGCCTAACTAATTCAATGTCCATTATAGCCATGATTTACTTTTACGGAATCTTGGCAAAGTATGTAACTTAGCACGCGAAAATGATAAAAATGATAACTACCTTTCTTTCTGGATTCATGTCATCATTTTTTCATTACAACAACACACAGGCTATTTTAAAGAGTTGTGCATATAGGAACAAATGCAACTGACACGTGGTAAGCATATATCCCAGGTAGAAAGAACAGAAGTGATTGGGTATACTAGAGTATTGCTTCTCAAATTTTAACGTGCATAAGAGATAAAATTCACATTCTGATTTAGTAGGCCTAGATTTGTGGCCTGAACGTCGGCATTTTTAACAAGCTTTCAGTTGTGGCTGCTGCTGCAGATCCTTGGATCACAATTTGAAGAGCAAGATTTCTGTTAATAACCACATCTTTTCACTATGTTACAAACATCAATAGTTATGTTTTCAGAGAAAAGAGACTTAGCTTGTTAAGTGTAGGTCAGGTTAAGGGAATTTTACTTCTATAATTATAAGCTCGATCCTAGGGTATGAATGTTTGTGTTTCCCCACTGGCCTAAATGCATAAGTTGAAATCTTAACTTTCCAGGTGATGGTATTAGAAGGTGAGATCTTTGGAAAGTGATTAGATCGTGAGGGTGAAGCCCTCATGATCGGGATTACTGCCTATGCAATCTCACCATATTATAAGAGCTGGCTAGTTTCTTCCACCAAATGAGGACAGAGCAAGAAGGAAGGCATTGTCTATGAACCAGAAAGCAGAGCTCACCAGACATTGAACCTGCTGGTGCCTTGATCTTGACCTTCTCAACCTCTAGAATTGTGTGAAACAAATTTCTGTTGTTTATAAACTGCCCAGTTTACGGCCTTTTGCTATAGCAGCAGAATCAGACTAAGACACTTGGTAAGCAACTACAGAGCACAGAATGTGATATGGTTTGTCTGTGTCCCCACCACCAGACCTCATCTTGTAGTTCCCATAATCCCCATGTGTCATGAGAGGGACCCAATGGTAGGTAATTGAATCATGGCGGCCACTGCACCCATGCTGTTCTCCTGAGACTGAGTGAGTTCTCATAGATCTGATGGTTTTTTAAGGGGATCTTCTCTCCTTTGCTTGGCACTTCCCCTTCCTCCCGCCCTGAGAAACATGTGTTTGCTTCTGATTCCACCATAATTGTAAGTTTCCTGAGGCCTCCCTAGCCCCGAAGAACTGTGAGTCAATTAAACCTCTTTCCTTTATAAATTCCCAGTCTGGGATATGTCTTTATTAGCAGTATGAGAACGGACTAATACAGAATGTCTCTCACCTTTGTTACATGCTGAGTGCACAGCAAAGGCACTACAAAATGTGTGGCAAATCTACCAGATGTAGCCATAAACCTCATCAATGTTATCAGTAATATATGACCCAGGATTGGTGGTAGCTAAGTGTCTATGAAAGCAGCTTTAGTTCAGCATTTGAATGTCCAAGGATATTAGCAAGGTGACAACACCGTTTCTTTCAAAGAATGCAGTTTAGAACCTAGGACAACATACAGAAAATAAAAACATAATGTGAACAAAAGAAATTATGGCATAACTTATTAATTTATTTTTATTGCAATAACATGCTACATATTGCCTAACTCTAATTGTATTTTCAGAGAAATTATAGTGCTTCTAAAGCTTGGGTCATCAAGCTGTGTTGCTCATGGCTTCATTTTATTCTTGGGATTATAATATCTTCCAGTAAATTTTTTTACTAATACAAGCAATCATTTGCCTAATGAGTGTTTGGAATTTTCCAGCAAACAGATGTGAGCACTGAAAAATGTGAACACTGTTTTAGGGAAGGCAATGCATCTTGAAGGACCCATTAATTTGTGAGCAGGAAAGAATGTAAAATGAGTAGCAACAGTGATGTCTATACTCATGTGAATAGATTTGAGGGTTCTAATAAAACATATTTGGTTTTACATATCCTTAATAAGGTATAATAATAATGCCAGTGATTATTGTAATGGTTGTGGAGCAGAATGGTGTAGTAGAAAGTATAATAACTAAGGAAGTAAAAGACCTAAATTTCAGTTCCAGACTTGTGGCTCTGTAATAGGGATATACCATTTACTGTCTCTTGGCCTCTGTATTCTCATTTGCTCAAAGAAAGGGAATAACTTGAAGGTGTCTTTCACTTGTGATTGTGTGACTCTGTGTGACCTATGACAAACTCTATGCCTACTGTTGTGAGAAGCATACTGTCAATGATATATGTACATGTATTTGTAAAAGTTTTTCATAAAGATATTCCACTTCTTTTAAAATTTGCTTTATACATTATCCTGACATTAGCTTTTATTGAAAGGAGAGGTATAAAAGATGTGTTAGACATCATCCTTCCTTCCCTCGGCAAACACAGCATATTCTTCGCACTGAGGAAGTTATGTGAAGGCACAAACAAAAATGTAAAAAAGTTCACATATGAGAAGTGTTTAATAAATAATCCTGATGATAGCGCAGTCAGAATTTAAATGCAGGCTGCTTGGTTTTTGTTAAGGTGGTTGGGGAATGTTGGTACAAAAGTCTTAAGTTCTGTTCCAAGCCCTAAAAGTTGTGAAGGAATTTCATGTACAGAGAGGGGAGGGAAGACAACTTAAGTAGAGAAATAATATACTTTTGAGGTCTATTTAGGAAAGAAATTTTTACATATATTTTCTCAGCCACATTGTCTCCTTCAATTTCCCTACACTTTATCCCCTTTTGTTTTGCTAAATCTCACTTTCATCTTTAAGGCCCAGATATAAATTATTTTCTTTCTAAAGCCTCTCCTAAGCTCCAGACCACAGCTTCCCAGAGTATGCTTCTTCAAAAACTGCTCTGTTCAATGAAATTGGTATCACATAGGAAAAATAGCCATGGTGTTGTAAGGATTTTTTTATGTACACAGTGAAATCATTAAAAAAATAAAATAACAGTTATATTGTAGAAAATAACATTGAATCTTGATGTAAAATCTTCAAGAAAAGAGGGACAGTTGCCCCCAGGATCAGTAGATGACTCAACTAAGGAGGGTTAGTCTCATGACAGGTGATTCAAACTGGAAGTATTTAGGGAGGACAGAAGGGCACCCTTAACCATCTACAGGTTCAAGGGTAAAAGGATGCATTCTTTGGCCATGCCAATCCAGAACAAAGGGAAACCTACCCTAACTGAGGACCAGAGGTATGTGGGGTGTGGGAAAGCAAACAGTCAATATATGAGAGACCCTAAGGAAGGAGAACCATCAGGTGACAGATGGGGTTGAATTAATCCACTAAGATGAATGAAATTGTAGAGAAGAGACTGAGAATATAAGGGATCTTGCTGATGATTGACTAGAAGACCCAAGGAAAGGGACCGCAGATGTTCATAAGTACTTTACAGAGTTAGAAAAGGCATGTACAGAGTCACGTGGGTTTGACAATGTGGAAGTTATAGATGACTTGGATTTGTACAGTTTTACTTAGTTGTGAGAATAGAAACTTAGTTGGAGGAAAATGAAAAACACTGGGAAATAAGAAACAGAGATAAAATTACTGTGGTGAGTACTTTGCTATGGAAAGGCACAGAGAAATGAATCGTTATCTCAGAACAGACATGAAGTATTATTTTTTTTCACCTGGCAGGGTATATCTGCAGCCTGATAAAAATTATCTTGACAAAGATCATTATCTTGAGAAAGATAACACATTATGTGGAAGACAGAATCAATGATAAGAGACAGTTTTTTGAGTGTATGAGGAAAACTGGACTCTTAAAGCTAAAGTATATGAATTAGCCTGTGATTGAACTGGTGGCACTCTATTTTAATGGTTTATATACAGTTTTTATTTAATTCCAACAAAAACCTAGTGATGTGGGCACATTTATGATCCACATCTTACAGATGAGGAAACTGATCTATGGAAGGATTAAGCAATTATTAAGCAGTTTACTTATAAAACCACTGAAACTTATACTTTAGAAGAGGACAATGAACTGAAGAAAAAACAAAAATTCCTAAACTGAGGTAGAGACTGTGGAGTAAATGCATCAGGGATACTGTTAACTTCTTTCTGGAAAGAGACAGAAGTTGTGGATTGTTAGAATTTTTTTCTTTCAACCAATTCAAACTTAAATATGCTTTACTTTGCTATTATAGCTAAAAATATTCTTATAATTCTACAGTTTGTTAATTACTTACAAAATCAAATTTGTCTGCAAGGGTTGAAATTTGAGATCACAGGAGATTTCAAAAAAATGTAAAATAGACTCAAATGATTTTAATAAGAAGAGGTAGAAATGACTTGGTCTACATCAGCATCTTTATAATAAATGTGTATTACGATATTACATTGAAGGAATCAAGCATTACACTTTTTTATGTTATGATATACTTTCCAAAATCTAAGTCATTTTGTTTTCTATCCATATCTCTGAAAGTCTTACGGATTCTAATCTAGTGATGTATTAATCTGTAAGGTATCTGAGAACTGGAGTGATGTCTATATTTTATATTGTTTTATTATTAGCCTTTACTATAATGCTGCATTTTAGGTAACCAATATATATTTACTGAATTACAAAATAATGCATATTCCTTTTAATAAGAAATCTGTAGTTTTGTAATGGCTTCAGCTTTAGGGTGCTTTCTGGGAATTACCTATCTTTTCATTTTGTCTCAAGGAATCATACATACTACTAAATGCATAAAATTCATCTAAGAGCAACATTAAGTGCTTATTAATGATATTTAAAAACTTGTATTGACATAATTTCCATGTAATAGGAATTCTTTCATTTCAAAACAAAGTTCAAAATTAAAGCCCTGTGACATGCATATAAAAAATGTTTCTGTGTTTGGTAGGCTTCATTTCTGTTTAGATCCTACTGGAAAAAAAATGGACACAAGAATTTATTTGCTCATTTACTCACTCATCATTCACTCACATAAAGATGTGACCTAGGAAAACAATGAATTAATTTTGAAGTAATCAAAACCAAACCATTTCTATGATTAAAGGCATATACATAAGAAAGCAAAGAATTATTCATTTGCCTATACCATTATTTCTGACCACAGAGAATGCAATGATCGTAAAATTTAAATGAAATTTTGTATGAACATATATTAGGATAAAATATGTATAATAATATAAAAAATCTCAAATAGATTCATGCACTGCATAAAAATGTTTCAGTTAATGATGGATTGTGTAGAAAACATTGGTCCCATAAGATTATATTACCATGTTTTTACTGTACCTTTTCTAGTTTAGATACGCAAATACTTACCACTGTGTTACGATTGCCTGTAGTATCCAGTACAGAACATGGTGTACAGGTTTGTAGTTTAGGAGGAATAGGCTATACCTTATAGCCTAGGTGTGTAGTAGGAGATAACATCTAGGATTGTGTAAAACACTCTATGATGTTTACACAGTGATGAAATCGCCCAACTGTGTATTTCTCAGAACGTATCCTTATTCAATGATGCATGACTGTACTTTCCATAGTATTCAAATTGTTATTTTGCTTAGGGAAGTGCAGACATTACATGAAACTCAAACTTGTACAATAGAACACTTAAATGGACCTTGAATGTACATACTTGAAATAATGTGAAAATTCTAAAGATAAGGAAAATATTCAATATTAACCTTCTTTTGGAAATATTTGAATCATCCTTCTTAAATTGCTTCTAATTAGACAAAATATTTACAGGTTAATTTTAAGGAATGTATTTTTTCATCGAGTGTTGACTATTCTGAAACACAAATAAAATGTTTTTACTGCATTTTGGAATTATAAAGGCTATGGTTACACAAAGTCAGGTGAATCAATTAATCAAATTGCCAACTTTTTTTTATAGCATTCAGTCCAAAATTACTCAGTTAAGTGTAGACAATAGAACATTGTTTAGCTGATCTTATTAGCCATAAACTAAAGCTGACGTTACAAAAAACTCCCCTGCAATAATTTTTTCATGTTTTATAGACACAACGTTTGCTTTATATGTTACAATATAAATTCAATGTGTCATGGCTGTAGAAGTTTCAGTAAAATGGATACAGAAATCTCAGTTAAAGGAATACTGGTTTTAATTAATTTTCCTACTCATCTCAGAATAATTCACGTTTGGGAAGAGCTAGATTACATAAGAGAATTTTTATTATTGGATTATTGGCTTAAGAATGCATTTTTGAGCCAGGTGCAGTAGCTCATGACTAAAATCCCAGCACTTTGGGAGGCCAAGGCAGAATGATGATTTGAGGCCAGGCATTCAAGACCAACCTGGGCAACATAGTGAGACCTTGTCGCTATAAAAAATTTAAAAGAAAATGTAGCCAGGCCTAGTGGTACACACCTGTAGTTCTGGCTACTCAGGAGGCTGGGATGGGAGGATTGCATTGCTTGATCCCAAGAGTTTGAGGTTAAAGTGGGCCATGATTGTGCCACTGCACTCTAGCCGGGCAAAAAAAAAAAACTTTGGATTTTGTATTTTTAAACTAATATGATCATCATCCCCATATGTGAAGATTGTTTAGTCCATTTGCTCTTGATGCCATTATTGATGTTACTGGATTTGCATCTGCCTTTTACTTTGCTTTCTTCATATCTCGTTTTTGTTCTTTATTTCACTTCCATTTTCTTATTCTCTATTAAATGAATATTTTCTATCTATTCTTTTGATACTTTTAATTATATATTTTTTAGTTACTTCTAGGTGGTTGATCTAGAGGTCTCACAATATCACAATTGGCTTCAGATTTTGCATTCCCTTAGTTCCAATTAAAATAAAAGTTTAATCCTATGTTGCTCCCTTCCTGCAATTCTTTTTTATGTTAATATTGTTATACATATGTATGTTATTTAATCAATGATACGTTATTTATTTATTTGATATAATCTCTTTTTAAAAAGCTCAGAGAAAAAATAGAGAAAGACCATATTTACAGAGTTTTTTTTATATCAACCTTATTTTCCATTTATAGTTTTCTTAATTTTGGCTTGTGTATAATAATTATCATCTTGTGCCATTTCCTTTTTCCAAAAAAGTTTTGCTCCCACCCAGCTCTTTTGTTTTGTTACCATCAAGTATATAACTTTTCTATCTGTTATAGGCCCAATAATACAAGTACATACATATTGTTTTACACAATTCCTTTTAAAATAAGATAGGGTCTGGCTCTGTCATGCAATGGATAGCACATTGGACTTCTGAAATAAGATAGGAAGAAGAAATATTCCTTTATATTGATTTTTGTAATTACTTACATAAATTACCATTATTTGTATTCTTTTTTTTTTTCCATGTGGATTCAAGTTACTTTCAGTGTCATTGCTTTCAGCCTAAAGAACTTTCATTAGTATTTTTTGGAAATTAGAAGGGCTACCAATACATTCTCTGTTTTTGTTTATCTAGGAATGTCATTATTTTGCTTTCACTTTTGAAAGGTAGTTTTGCTGGGTATAAGATTCTGGTGGACAGTTTTTACTTTAAGCATCTTGAGTATGTTCTTCCACTGCCTTCTGGCCTACATTTTTTTTTCTGGCTAGAGGTCAGCTGCTTATCTTATTGGGGTTCCTTTATACTTGATGAGTAATTTTTTTTTCTCTTGCTACTTTTAAGATTTCCTCTTCATCTCTGGATATCAACATTTCATCTACGAAGTGTCTGTGAATCTCCTTGTGTCTATCCTACTTTGAGTTCCTCTGGCTTCTTGCATGTGCAGATCAAAGTTTTTCATCAACTTTGGGAAATTTTAACCATCACTTATTTAAGCATTTCTTCTGTTCCTTTCTCATTCTCTGTCCTTCTCTGATACTCCCATTACACATATATGGGTTAGCTTAATAGCAACTCATATTTCTCTTGAGTATCTGTTCATATATCTTCATCCTTTATGCTTTCTATGCTTAGTACATAATTTCCATTGATCTGTCTTCAGGTTTACTGGTTCTACCTTTTGCTAGCACAAATCTGCTGTCAAACCTCTCTAGTGAGATTTTCATTTGGGTTATCATACTTCCAGATCCAGCATTTCAACTTGGGTTTTTCTTATAATTTACATGTCTTTTTGGCAGGGGGTGCCGGGAGACAGAGTCTTGTTCTGTCGCCAGGCTGAAGAGCAATGGTTCACTGCAACCTCTGTCTCCTGGGTTCAAGTGATTCTCCTGCCTCAGCCTCCCAAGTAGCTGGGACTACAGGCATGCGCCACCACACCTGGCTAATTTTTGTAGTTTTAATAGAGACAGGGTTTCACCATTTTGGCCAGGCTGGTCTCAAACTCCTGACCTCAGGCAATCCATCCCTCTCGTCCTCCCAAAGTGCTGGGATTACAGGCGTGAGCCACCGCGCCCAGCCTACATGTGTTTATTTGTATTCTCTGTGTGATAAAACATTGTCATCAGACCTTCCTTTAGGTATTTAACCATAGTTTCCTTTGTTCCTTAAACATATTTATAATAGCTGCTTTCACACGTTTATCTTCTAAGCTTATCCTTTGGGTCCCTTCAAAGGCGACTTCTACTACCTGCTTATTTTCTGTGTATAGATAATAGTTTCCTGTTTCTTTGTATGGCTCATATATTTTTTGTGGAAAACTGAATGATATGCTGTAGAATCTCTGGATCCTGATTTTTCAACCCCTTCCCCACCCCCAGAGTTGTTGTGGTTGCTGTTTGCTTGGATATTTGCTTATTTGTTCAGTGACTTGGCTGAGCTAATCATGCAGTTTATTTCCACAGCAATATGTAGCTTATGATGATCTTGTTCAGATTTGTTTTCCCTCAGTTTTAGGTTTCCATCTGGCCACCTAGGTTTTGCCCCTGGGCATGCCACATATTGGTCAAAAGTTAGGAGTGTGTGTGTGTGTGTGTGTGTGTGTGTGTGTGTCTGTTTTAAAGCTTCCTAGCACACTTCAGGGAGTTTATGTATTTTTGCCTCACTTTCTGTTACTGATGATTACTAGTTGGGAGATTCTCTATTTATTCATGAGAGGACACTACTTTGGAAATGTACATAGCCTTCCAGACTGTGAGGGATGAGTGTGATTTATCAGTTTTGTTTAAGCTGCTTGTGCCAGTGACGGTTCGCCCTGTGTTGATGGGTCTGTGTGTAGACTGGGGAATGCTTGCAGTTCATCCCTGTATCCAGCTCTGATTTCTCCTGAATGGAGGTAACCTAGTACATGCACACAGACTTCCTGACCCAAAGAGTGATGGTGATCTCAGGAGGGCTCTTCTTAGCTGTTTCTTTTCTTGGTTCTTGCTATGAAACTTCTGGCTACTCCGTCATTTTTCTTGTATCATGGAGCTATCAGCCTTCTCTTACTTGCTCACCACTGAGATCTTCATTGTTTTGGACAAAACCTTTAAGCATGGAGTTCTCCACTCTCTGTACCAAATAAAGTTCATCCCCTCAGATAGAGCTGTGGAATTGTGCCCTAATGGCCTGCCTTCTCCTGGGCAGAACCCTTATACCATTGCTTGAAGACTGGGGGAAGCATTTGCTTTCTCCAGAATGACCCCTTTGCTCTATTGATGGACACCTGGATGGGTGGGAACCAAAGGTAAAGACATGAATTTAAAGTTTGTCTTATTTGCTATAGGTTGTTATAAGAGAAATTTCTAGCCTACTTGAAATTTTGTAAACTCAGTTTACGGTTTAATAATAATATGCATCTGTGACTTAGGGTTTTGTTTTCATAATGATGATAAAAATCTCCAAGTTTCTTATGTTTTTGTTTATTATGGTGCTTTTATTTTCATTTCAAACCTTTATAAGATACCAAGTAATTGTTAATGCATGCTTTTTAGAATAATTGCATAATTAATATGCTTTGCATGCAAATTTGTAGAAACACAGAAGTTAAATGTTGCCACTGGAAGGTTTTATTCCATTTTCCTCTAGATGTTAAAATGAATAAATTCTGAGCAAGCCATATATTCTCTAATGCTGGCTTTGGCCCTTTCTAATTCCGTATTATAATATCCAGATGTAAAAATAATAGTTTTAGATTACTTGTCCTTTCCAGTTACTTAGAAGAAACACATCTGAAAAAAAGATCATCTGCTCTTTCTAAGAAGGAATAAGAGGCAAACTAACGCATAAAAATAGGAAATGAGAACCATTTTGAAACTGGGTTCAAATTCCAGCACCATCACTTACCTGTTGTGTCCTTGTACAAAACTAAGCCTGAGCTTTCCTGTTGGCAACATATATGGGATAATATTTACCTGATAGGGTTTTGTGCATAAAATCAGATTATATATCTAAAACTTGTCCCTTAATACCTAAAAAAGAGAAAGTAACCTGATGATAGCTAATCATTAATTTGTCATTTTCAAGTCTACTTGCCTTCACTGATGGTATACTGGTTTAAGAAATTTGATATATTTACATATTAATTATGTCCGATGTAAACATTTTCTTACTTTAAAAAGTCCCCTTTATCTGAAATTCAAAGTATACATTTGTAAATTTTTAAATGAAATAACTCTGCAAATATGCTTGCTAATTTTCTGATTTCCAAAATAAATGTAAATCCACATAAAAAGTCTTATTTCTTTAGTGTGTAGCTCCAGCATTACGGAGTATTGTCCCATCTGCTAGTTTATCTTTGAATGTAAAATCAGAGACGCAGTTCCCACATAAGGAGTCCCTAGAGTAAGGCATTGTAAGGATAGATGAATAGAATGAGGGATGGATTTCAAAGATATTTGGAAACACCCATGCACTGTTCTAACCATTGAGATACCTTAATTCGTGACAGAGGAGCTTTAATAAAAGTTTTAGCATTTGACGTTTGCTTTGTTTTTTGTTTCAATATTTGAATTTATTCACACTGAACTATAAGCTCCATGAGAGTTGGATCATGCCTATTTCATTCACCATGGCAAACCCAATACCTCTCCCAGCACTTGACATACACTAGTCTTGATCAATATCAGTTTAATAAATAAATTTAATTATAATTATGTACTTTATTATACTTTATAAGTTTTAAACTTGCCATTTTTCCTCTTCTATAATCTGAATTTTATATAGAGGTTACAAATCTGAATTTCTGTTCACTTTGAACCTCTGTATTACTTAACAATATAATTTATGCAAACATATTTTTAGGAAGAGTAGCTTTATTTCTAATAGCCAAATATGGAAATAAATCAAATGCCCAGTAACAGATAAATGTATAACAAATCGTGGTGCATCTATTTCATGAAATGCTACTCTGTGATAAATCCATATACAAAATATTCCAAAAGAGACAAATTCTCCCATGTTTTGGAGGGAAAGTCTAAATCTCTTTAAACCTGAAATTAAATAAATTAATTAATAATATCCCATCAAATAGCAATTGGTTTAAGTCCAATGCCTTTAATAAGGAATACAAGTTCTTCCACTATCTGGCCCCTGGCTACTACTGTAGTTTTGTTACTGGGTACTTGCTTTTTCCATATTTTCATTCAATTTCATATCTTTATTTATATTTTTTTCTCAATGTGGAATTTCCTTTCTTGCTGTATCTGTAAAACTTCTACACAAAAAATACACATACTAATAAAGTTATTTATACTTAAATGATAAGCATTACCTTGGAATATGTCTATGGCATCTCAAGCCTGGGTTAGGAGTTGTCTGGGTTATTATAACACTCCGTGCACAGCTTGTTCATCATACTTCTCACATTTCATTATGGATATACCTTAAATAATCTGTTCTTCCACTAGGCCGTGAAGGTAGGAGTAAAGTTTCATTTTTCTCTGTATTTCTATAACTACTGCATGGCCTGAAGCAAGTCAGAGTTCTATAGTCATTGAGCTAATAAATATGAACTGATACATATCTCTTTCTAAATTCCTAGGAGAGAAGCCTGAAGAACAAAGCAGCCACAGATCAACAGGAGTATAGTTTATTAGAGGTTGGTTAGAGACTTTTTGCTAATGAGCTGTACTGTCCATAGGCATCATCATGGGGTTCTCAAATCTAATGATACCCATGCCATCAATTCTGAGTAAAGTGGTTACAAAAGAAACTGATATTTAATTTTTACTATAATAGAAAATGGCATGTATATGTGTCTTAATTCATTCAGTAGATGCAACATAGGGTAGTGGAATGATCACTTTCCTGTATAATTAATTGTAAGAGCTAGAGTTCATATAATCACTAATTATTAAAATAAAAATATTCTATCTCAAAAATAGCATTACCATAGCTTTTGTGGCTTTCTATTAATGAGTTATTTTCTCAATTTTTATATGTTTCAAATCTTCAATAACAATCAGAGCTGAAATAATAAACACTGGCTATTATTGTTCTAATAAATAAAATGGTTATTTTTGCATAATGAGTAAGAACGTAACCATTGGAGTCAGACAGGAGGAGTTGCTTATTTGAGTTATGACATTTACTGGCCATGCTACCTCAAAGAAATTAGACATTCTGAACCTCAGCCTCTTTATCCATAAAATAGAATAATAATAGTAGCTACTTCTTGGGATCACTGATAGGGATGGTAGGTTTAAATGGCACAGTGAATTCAAGAAAGTATTTGGGACAATGTCTGATAATTAGTAAATGCTCCAGAGTCCTAGTATTTTTTGTTATTATTAAAAAAAATACTGTAACTCACAATAGACATTAAAGGAAAGAGCACACAACATGAGGATAAGTTTAACAAACAGTGATAAAAAAGTCAATACCAGTGTCAAGAAAAAGCACAGCTAGGTCAAGAAAGAGAACCCTGATTGCAACCAAGGAGCCTTTGCTTGCGCCATCCTCATCACAACTTTATCTCTCCCCTTTAGCATTAGCAAGTATCCTGAATTGCATGAAAATCATTTCCTTGCATTATTTTAAAATTTTACTACCCACATGTATTTCTAAGCAATATTGCCTGTTTTTGACCTTTATACAGTAAAGTCATCTCAAAAGTCAACAATGGAAAAACAGAAATATCTAATTAGAAAACGGACAAAATAAGTTAAGATATTTCACTGAAGAGGATATAGAGATTACCAATAAGCATATGAAAAGGTGTTCAACATCACTAACCAATAGGGAATTAAAAATTAAGTCCATTATGAGATATCATTACACAACTATTAGAATAGCTAAAACTTAAAAAGTAGTGACTAGCAAATTTGAGTGAAGATGTTTATAAACTGGATCTCTCATATTTTATAGGTTCAAATGTAAAGTAATACAGCTTATCAATTTATTAAAAATTAAACATACTCTTATACAACCCAGCAATTGTACTACATTTATTCCAGGAGAATGAAAACTTATATCCACACGAAAACCTGTACATGATTGCTCACAGTAGCTTTGTTACCGCCCAAAACTGAAAACAATCTGGATATCATTCAAAGTGTGAATAATTAAATAAAATATGGTATATTCATACCATAGAATACTACTCAGTAGTAGAAAGGAATAAACTACAACAACTTGGATGGATCTTAAATGTATTGGGCTGAGTGAAAAAGCCAATTTCTAAAGGTTATATGCTATTTATATTACATTCTCAAAAATGACAAAATAATATACATAAAATACAGATTAATAGCCACCAAGGATTAGGGATAATAGAAGGGATAGAAATGAGTGTGACTTTAAGGGAGTAGTATGAGGAAGATCTTTGTGGTGATGGAATGGTTCTGTATCTTTGATTGTAGTAATTATTACACAACTGTAAATGACATAGAAATATATACCTACATCATACTAATGTTAACTTCTGAGTTTTGATGTTGTACTACAGTAATGTAAGATGTAATAAAAATTGAGGGAATCTGCATAAAGGATATGTGTCACCTCTCTGTCCTATTTTTGCAGCCTCCTGTAAATGTGTAATTATTTCAATATAAAAAGTTAAAAAAATGCTTCATCTACATAAAGGGATGAAAATAACACAAACAAAAAGAAGATAGCATAATGGAAATTAAAAGTCAAGGCTTTATTTCAAATATATCAATATTTCAGTTAAACATAACTGAAATAAAGTCTCAATTTAAAGGCAAAGACTGTTAACCTGGATAAAAAATGTGTGCAATCCAACCATAGTTTTTTTTTTAAGTAAGACTCATCTATTAATTATATAGATATGAACAGATTGAAAATAAAAGGACTTTTTATGATTACATTTTGCTTTAACCTAGAGAATTTCTTTTAGCATTTCTTGTCTTGTGACTTTGCTGGATATGAATTTATTTTGTATTTATATTTCTGTAGGTGTTTATATGTCATGTTGATTTTTGAAGGATATTTTTTACTAGTAGAACACTAATATTCTTTTTACAAAATTTCAACACATCCAAGATGCCATTCCATTGACTTCTTGATTTCATTGCTTTTTGATGAGAAGTCAGCTAAAATTCTTACCATTGATTTCCTTTATGTAATATTTCTTTGTACTCCTTCTGCCTTCAATAGTTTTTCTTTTTCTTTTAACGGTCTAAGTATGATGCACCTAGTTTTTCTTTGTATTTATCCTGCTTGGCATTATCTAAGCTACTTGGATCTTTGGTGTTACCTTAAATGAAATTTGGAAATGTTAGGATGTTATCTATTCAAATATTTATTGTGTCCATCTGGAGCTTCTTCCTTTTCTATGGCAAGTATACATATATTAGACTGATCTTGTCCCAAGGCCTCTGATACTCTCGTCTGCTTTTTTTTTTTTCTTTTGGTGTTAGTTTGAATAATACCTACTGATCCATCTTAATGCTTGTGAATTCTTTATTCTCATGTGTTCAGTTTGTGGATAATCACATCACAGACATTGGTTTCTTTTGATATTGTGTTTTCATGTCTAATAATTCAATTTGTTTCTTTTTTTGTTTGTTTGTTTGCATCTCTCTGATGAAGTCCTCTATATATTCGTGCACGTTGTTTACCTTTTCCACGAGATCCTTTAACATATTAACCTTAGTTATTTAAACTACCTATCTGACCATTTCAACATTTGGACCATCTGATTTAATGACTACTTTACTTCTTGATGATGGGGCATTTTTTTTCCATGTGTTTCCTGTGTCTTCTGGTTTTCAATTGAATGCTGGACACTGCATGTAAAAATAATAGAGGCTGAAGTCAATACCATCTTTTCCTGGAAAAGCACATGTTTCTTCTTCTCCCAGACTTATGTTGAGAGATTGAGTAAATATTTTCTGTAATTTGAACTATATTTGGCCTTGTGATTGCTTTCACTGTCAAATTGAGCACATCACAGGCTTCAAATATCTCCAGTGGTGATTTAGTGCTTACCTTGTGCTTACCGTGAGGTGTGGGATGCTGGAGAGCTTCTCCTAGTGTTCCTGTTTTGCTTTTATGTTTCATTGAATTCTTCATGCCTGTGCCATGTTCTCACCCTTCCCCTGTGATATATTGCTCTTGCTTCATATCAGTTGAAGTCTCATGGTGAGGATAAAGATGCTTCTTGTTTATTCTCTTCTTGCCTTAGTCCTGAGTGGGCAGTTTTCATGTGAAATGTAGAGACAGCCTTTTTTTTATTTTTATTTTTTAAGCATTTCTGCCCTTTCTCAAATGCAAGTAACCTCTCTTCCTACTCAACCTAGAGTCCAGAAAGTAAACAAATTTCCTGTTCCTCTTAAAGGGCAACAAACCTAAACTTTGTATCTCAGGAGACTAGGGTAAATGAGAGTCCTGTTTCTCCCCCATTTGCAGCAAAAATGCGCCTTGTTTTAGGACAATAACCTAGAAGGAGTTTCCTACCCCAACCCCAGCAGCAGATGGCTGTGTCAGGATAGAATTTCTTGTTCCTCCTCCAGTACCAAACAACTTCTTGAAATCAGCATGTCTAGGGTGTTGAAAAGTTACCTGCCTTTTCTCCAGAAGCACTCTATATTAAGACTTTAAGAAGGTGTTTACATTTCAGCCTTTTTTCTCAGCTGCTTCTGTGGTGGCCAGTTACTTCCATGCTATGCCAAAGATGTAACAGTTTACGTATCCTGTTCTCCTAGGAGGTTTACCAACTCATTGATCTCAGTTTTCCTGGTTGCCTTATGATCTGAACTATCTGATATGCTCTAAAAAATTATGGTTTTGTAGGTTATCTGTCTTGTTTTTTGATTGAAAATTTTTTGCAGTTTTCTACATCCTAAGTGAAAATAGATTCAGTTTTTATAGTTGAATGCTGTACATTTAAATTATTGCATAGATCAGATGAGAAACATTTTTGGTCTCTGGATGTGTGTTGTTGTTAATTTTATTGACCATGTTACACCATCAGCCCTTTTTGTTCCCTGCATAAAACTTGACTGCGTATTCATGCTGCTGTTCAGAGTTTCTACATGACAATTTCATTTAGACTTTTGGCTGATGGCCACTCATTTCTATTAAAAAAGAGTTTTAAATTCTTTCCTACAATGGCTTTTGGCACTTGAAAAAAAAAATACAGGAGTCTGGGGAAACAGTAACCAATTTTTGTGCAAAATGTTACTCTAATACCAGTGATGGAGCAAGGAATGGCAGCAGCCTCATGTGGCTGTCATAGAAATATTTGGCCCCAAACAGAAGCCCTCCAGTAAATCTACCCATTTTGACTCCCCTTTTTAATTTCCATAATTTCAACTGAAAGACAGTCCAATTCAGGCTAAAAATGGAACTGTAGTAGCTGTTTACTTAAACTTTCTCCTCCTCTCTCACTTTTAAGGCATCAAACTCTAAATAAAAACAAAAACAAAAACACTACAACATGAGGACTACCATTCATGACTTTCTGATTTTTGCGAAATCACTTAGCTCCTCTATGGCTCAATTTCTTCATTAATGAAATTAGCTAATTTTACCTACTCTAACAGTCTTAAAAGAGAAATTACAATGAAAAAATGTTAGCTGCAATAAACAATAAATATGTGTTACTATTTCCTATTCTCATCTTCTCCTTCTTAAAGATTGATCTGGCCCTAATGTATACTGTTCTATAGAGCAGTGTAGTTTATTTAGGTGATTTGACTGAAAAATTGTTATCCTTTTTTCATTCATGATTATTTGAGAATTCCTGCTTTGTCTTTGTGTGTATTCAGAAACTTCTAGATTCTTCTTGAGGGTATATAACACATTCATTTGAAAAAGTCTGAATAAGTTATGCCTGCCCTTAATTTAGATTTGGTATTTCTATTACTGGCTAAAGGCTATGGGGTTTAATAAGTAAAGAGACATTAATAGGAAATTCATTAGTTAAGGTTATCTTAACATCCCTAATTATTTATTAAACACTGGTTGATTATATTAAAACCTATTTTGTTCACTGCAGTCATTGGTATCTGACATTGAGAGAGAATAGAGTTGCATTTTTATTTTACATTTCTCAAAGTAGCAACTTAGACACATTCAGTGTTTTCACACAATAGCAATTATAATTAGGGTCAATGCATATGCTAGATACCCCCTCTCTGTGCAATCATAAATAGCAATTTTATTAATAAATGGGCTGATTTTTTCTTCTTGTTTTGTGATTTAGGCAACACATTGTTATCACTATCCAGTTCTGTCTGGGATTAGTAATTTTGTTCTTTTATTAATAATCCAATATATTTGTGACTTATTCAGGAGGCAGTAACATACACGAATACCTCACAGGCTTTGAAGTGAGATCTTTTTGAATCCACCCATTATTGACTACACACCTAGAGCAAGAGATCGCTAAGCCTTGGATTCTCCAATGGTAAAATGGAGAAGAAAACTTTTAGAGCTGTTGTGAGGGTTGAAGGAGACAATGCATGTAAAGCTCCTGCCCTATTACTTAGCACCATCAAACAGCTCAAGAAATGGCACAAGTGATGATGATGATGACTGTTGCCTTTTTCTATTTTTTATATTTCTTGGATTCTAAGTTTCCAGAAGGTAGAAGCTCCATTTACACACAGTACTGTCTAAACTGCTCTTAGCATAATGCCACCCCATCAATCTTCTGTTTTTGACAAGTTTTCCCAGATCAGTGCTGTCAGTCCTCATTTGTAAAGTCTTACAGAGACAGAGCCACATCTACTTACCTTGCTCAATAAATCCCCATTACTCTAATATTTCTTGATCATGCTGCTGATTCAGCTGTCTTGTGTCCCCTAATCCAGTTGAGAATATTCCAGCATGTCCTCTATTTATGAATAGGCTTTAATTCAAAATGAAAGACCATGATTGGTTCGATTAGCTTAGCCTAACACAACCTCTGAGCTTAATTTTTGGATTAACAGGGACACTTCTGCCATTTCATTCATTCCTTGGCTCCTTCTGCTATGTATGATTTCAAGATGATGATTCCCTTTGGACTTTTGGCTGAAGGCATTTGTCACTTCCAATTCATTATTTCCTTGATATTTGCTCACTGCAGAGCATCTGTCCCCTATGCAGTTTTGGAAGAGGATGTACATCTCTGAAATAGCAAGACAAATATGATGCCTGATTATAAGTTTAGGAAAATAAAAACAGAGGAGAGTTCTTGCATGGTTTTCAAAATTTTCTATGAATTTATCATATTTAAGCTGCTATTTTAGTTTCTGGCAGGTATATTTTCTATAACAAGGAACAAGGAAGGCTAGTCTGCTCTGCAGGTGTTTTATATAACATTGCCCTCCTGTGTCATGTGGTCTGACTAAAAATTTTATAACTGAAAATTTGCGTATTTTAAGTACACAGTGGATGGGATTTCTTCTTGAGGGACATAAACAAAAACAGCCACTAACATATGTCACAATTTTTTTGACACATGACACATATTTAGATAAATCTGTTAATACTTTCTATTAAAACTTTTTAGAACTTCCAACGTGTCCGGAATTGGTGGGTTCTTGGTCTCACTGACTTCAAGAATGACGCAACAGACCTTCGTGGTGAGCATTATAGTTCTTAAAAGCGGCGCATCTGAAGTTGTTCATTCCTTCAGATGTTGAGGTGTGTCTGGAGTTTCTTCCTCTGGTAGGTTTGTGGTCTTGCTGACTCCAGGAGTGAAGTTGCAGACCTTCGCGGTGAGTGTTACAGGTCTTAGGATGGCATATCTGGAGTTGTTCATTCCTCCAGTCGGTTTGTGGTCTTGCTGGCCTCAGGAGTGAAGCTGCAGACCTCAGTGGTGAGTGTTTACAGCTCATAAAGGCTGCCAGACCCACAGAACAAGCAGCAACAAGATTTACTGTGAAGAGTGAAAGATCAAAGCTCCCACACTATGGAAAAGGGCCCTAGCGGGTTGCTGCTGCTAGCTTGGGTGGGCTGCTTTTATTCCCTTATCTAGCCCCACCCACATCCTGCCGATTGGTCCATTTTACAGAGAGCTGATTGGCTCATTTTACAGAGAGCTGATTGGTCCGTTTTACAGAGTGCTGATTGGTCCGTTTTGACAGTGCTGATTGGTGCCTTTACAAACCTTTAGCTAGACACAGAGCACTAATTGGTGCATTTACAATCCTTTAGCTAGACAGAAAAGTTCTCCAAGTCCCCTACCCGATTAGCTACACACAGAGCCCTGATTGGTGCGTTTACAAACCTTTAGCTAGACAGAGTGCTGATTGGTGCCTTTACAATCCTTTAGCTAGAGGGAAAAGTTCTTCAAGTCCCCACCCGTCCCAGAAGCCCAGCCAGCTTCACCTCTCACTGGCACTCGCCACAGGCAGTCAGGCAGCCCAGCGGGAGCTCATCCCCTGATCAAGCCCAGCAGGCTCCGGCAGGCCACGCCCAGTGCGGGGCCCGCGGAGCTCGCACCCACCCGGAACCCGCGCTGGCGCTCCGGCCGCGCGCAGGCCCCGCTTCTGCAGGAGCCTCTCCCTCCGCACCTCCCCGCGAGGAGAGGGAGCGGGCTCCGGCCTCGGCCAGCCCCAGAGAGGGGCGCCCACAGCGCAGCGGCGGGCTGAAGGGCTGCTCAAGCGAGACCAGAGCGGACGCCGAGGCTGAGGAGGCCCTGAGAGCGAGGAGAGCGAGCGAGGGTTGCTAGCACGTTGTCACCTCTCACAATGACTGTCTTCCTCAAGTAGGTTACCAGTCAAATGCTCAAAATACCAATGCTACTAGATTTCATATCAATTATTTATGTTAAAGACAAAATCCTGAAGTATTTAACAAATTGTTGCAGTCTGTGACGCCCATAACAATTGAGCGTAGCCTGTTATAGTGGACTTGTAGAGAGCAATGGACTTGAAGTCAGGAGTTTGAACACTTGTTTACTGAATATGCAACTCTAAGTCAGTTTATGAACTTCTTTGGACCTGTAAAACACCTGCTTTCCCGGCTGATGGGGTCTCTGGAAAATCTATAAAAAACACAGCTAGAAAAATATTTAGTGCACACAGCGAGCTAGTTCTCTTGTGACCTACACATGAAAGATGTCATTGTTATTATTTTTCTCTTTGCAATTACAGCTCCATCCTTTACTAGGAATTCTTTGTGCTTTACGTCTAAGGACATGATAGTAATTCGTTCCTCAAATATTCTGAGTACCTACTGGTACTAGGCACTGTGGATACTGTAAAATCAGAGCAACAGGGTCAAAACTTAACTCAGAATTAACTATTTAGAAGGCAATGGAATCTGGAGTTTGCTTCAGGTTTCAGTGTGCCACACAGGTTAATTCTTTTTAGTATAGGTGTCAGGGTAAAATAGGGAAAGCTATAAACAAACAATAGTAATACAACAAACGTAAAGGAGATATTGATTTGAAATAAAAATAGTACCATGAGATTTACCTTGAGAAAAATGGGTACTATAAAACCTGTTTTCTACATTTTGAAAAAACAAAACACATGGTTGTGAAATGAGAAATTCAGATGATCAGCTTAACACTCACAGTAAACATGCCAAAGATCTGAAAACTATTGCATTTGCCACATTCCACTGTTTAGAAAGAGTTGGATGTCTGGAAGGGTATAGAACAATTAGCTGATGATGGAAGGGCATTTTCCACTTTGTATTGATACACTTTGATTTCCTTGAGAAGACATGGAAGTAAAGGTTTACAGTGAATGACCTTTCCCCTCGATACTGATAGGCATTACCAATACCAATATTGTTCTAAGGGCAGAAAATGTTCAGTAAATCTGGACATCTTTGACGAGTCATCCCACCACTTAGCATACACTAGTTGAGCTGTGGTGTTTCACCTGTTTTCCTTTGGAGAAAAGCTGCTATTGGAGCCTGAACCCATAGTCTTAAAAAATCTCAGCCTCTTTGTACTATGGATTTTATGGAAGACTAAATCAGTCATATCCCCTTCATTTGAAATGGTTCCCTTCCTTTTTTACAAGGTATTCTAAGGAGATTTCAGTTTTTCTGTGTTTGTATTGCCTTCAACAGAATCTTTATAATAAGCCTCTAGTGGATTTTGGGTGGGTGAACATTAAATGACTTATACCTTCTGGAACATTTTAGTATTGGATATTGCACTGGAACAGGAATTAGGAGATATTGGTGAGTGTGTGCAATTTGTTTCAAGTGGGATTTGCAGAAGTAACCTGACTTATCCAGGCTTAAGTTTCCTTCTTTGCAAAATGAATGATTAGGATGAACATATCTCTTAGATCACTTTAACTCAACTGATACTGTTGAGCAATTAGGTGTCAAGGATACAAACATTTCTGGAATCCTATATTCAAGTGCATTAATAATTTCCTATTATTCTATGAAATGCAGCTTTAGTCAGGTAGAACATCTCACTATTTCCAACATACAACATGATTATTTTCCTTCTTTTGACTTTTCCTGTGGATTCTTCCTCATCTGGCATGCCTATTTGATCATATCTGAATATCTAAATCCCACTCATATGTCAAGGACAAAGCTTAAAAATCTGGCGTAATCACAATTATGTACTATATCTCTTTTAGAAACACATAGAACTTACCAAAGAGGTTACTACACTCTAAATATCTAATTAATACTAATCCTAATAGCTTAGTTAATAACTTTTTAGCTTTTAGCATTTCAAAATTCTACAATAAATGAATCAGATACTGTTTCCCAAAATAATGTAATTGTGAACTATTATTATATTGGTCTTGAGTAGCTCAAGCATATTTCCTCTACTTCTAAATTTAAAAAGCAACATTTATAATATTTGTCTTATGCTGTGCAGTAGTCTGAATGCTTCTACAGCCCATCCCCCAAATTCACATTTTGAAATGCTAACCCCCAATGTGATGATAGTATTAAAAGCTGGGGTCCATGGGAGGTATTAGTTCATGGGGCTGGAACCTTCACTAATGAGATTAGTGCCCTTATAAAAGAGATTCTACAGAGATCCTCACCCCCTTTTTCCACGTGAGGACATATAGAGAAGCTGCCATCTATGAACCAGAAAGCAAGCTCTCTCCAGACAATGAATCTTTGGGCACCTTGATCTTGCACTTTCCAGACACAAGAACTACAATAAATAAATTTATGTTGTTTATAAGCTGTCCAATTTATGGTATTTTGTTATAGCAGCAGGATCTGACCAATGCAGCTTCCTACGTAAGGAAATGAGGTACCTAACCAGACATTCTTCTTTAGCAGTTTCAACCAAGTAAAATTTTAAGCATGGCTAACACTGGAAGGTCACATAAAGAAAGGTTTACATGACATCATGCTTTTGTCCCAAGGAGATTTTGTAGCCTGAGCATCAATGGGAAATATTTTAAAATAAAAGCCCATTCTCTAAGAAAATATTACAGATAAAATGCACAAACCTTCCAGTGTTGACAAACAAAGCAAATAGCAAGCATTTCTGAAGAACATATTGAAGTCATCCAAAAAAGACATCTAAAATCTCAAATTTGAAAACTGGGGCAAAACAAGGCTGAGCACTACACATAAAGTCTTCATAAACACTGAAGTAGCAAATACAGAACCATTGCTCCTAGAAGAAATAGAGGGTTAGGTTTCTGGTTCTAACGTTTTTGTCAATTGATCAATCACCTTATGTTTTGTGTGTTTCTAGTTAAAGATACCTCATTTAATATATATTTTTGATTCATTAATATTGAACTCACAGCAGGCACTATGATTTATGCCTGCAAAAAACATATCTAACACATCTATTTTCTCCGTAAGGCACATGACAGTCTTCTCGCACTGAGGAACACTAGATAGCACTTCAGCACTATAATCAGGGCCCGTTTTAAGCAGCCAAGTCATCAACAAGAAGCACGAAATGCAAAAAACATGGCATAAATAGACCACAAAATGGACACATGTTTACAGTATGAGAGATGAAACAGGAAGGCAGAGTGCTGCCTTGTTTGAATTCAGCTGGAAACATGCTGTTCAGAGAACTCAAATTTTTCACCACTCTGCTCATGCCTGTGAGTGATTGCAAAAGTGAAGTGCATATTGATTTTGAGGTTACAAATAAATTTCAGCAAGTAGGCAAATTTGCAAATGTGGAGCCTGCAAATAATGAAGATGATTGTATTTGTTATGAGATCTGTTGAATTCCAATGCTCTTTTTCTTCCCCACCTCCTAATGAAAGGAGCTTTATACTTCTCTTGCATATAAAAGTGATGCACTATCATGTAGAAAAATAAAGCCATACAAAAATATTTTTTATCAATAGAAATTACGTCACCAGAAGTCAATGATACCTTTCTATGTATATGTATATGTATATGTATATGTATATGTATATGTATATGTATATGTATATGTATATGTATATATTTGTTTCGATATGGTTTGGCTCTGTGTCCCTGCCCAAATTGAACTGTATTGAACTGCCTATATTGAACTATAATCCCCATAATCCCTATGTGTGGAGGGAGGGACCTGGTGGGAGATGATTGGATCACAGGTGTGGATCCCCTTCTGTTGTTCTTGTGATAGTGAGTGAGATCTCATGAGATCTGATGGTTTTACAGGTGTCAGTTCCTCCTTGTTCACGCTCTCGACTACCACCATATAAGGCATGCTTCCTCCTCTGCAATGATTGCAAGTTTCCTGAGGCCTCCTCAGCCATGCAGAACTGTGAGTCAATTAAACTTCTTTCTTTTATGAATTCTCACTCTTGGGCATTTATTTATAGCAGTATGAAAACAGACTAATACCTGCATATATACGTATTTCCTATAAAATATCCTTGTGTTTTAACAAGTCTGGAAAAGAATAATTGCAGAACTTTTCCCTTAAGTATTGAGTATAGCTATGTGGAGTCATTTTAAATGGTTGCATGATATGCTTTCACTAATCTCCTATTGATAAACATTTAGCTTGCTTCTAATATTTATCTATTCTGAACACTGCTGAAAATTCACCGATCTCTGTGTATATGTCCAATTACATTTGCAAAAATGTTCTAAAAATACAATTTAGATTTAAATTCCTACTAAACTGCTCTTAAGAAATGTTTTCCCTATTTTAACCATTTTCTATCTAATGTTGCATATGCTACAGTGTCAATTCTGTTTAACTTGATGTTTGGGGTTATGACCTAAGTTATTACCTGTTAGCATGGGAAAATAAATAATCACATCACATTATTCACAACCAAACATTAGTAGATGATCTGGTACAAAAAATAATTACCAGAAGAATTGCAAGAGTATATAAGGTAAAGATCCAGTGCTGATCAATTCTGAAAAAGTGGCAGTGGTGGCAGCATAGCTTTGGAGTCTCTTTAAATCTCCAGACTGAGGGGCTAGTTAACAAAACCAAAACTCCACAGAGATTATACACAATATAACTAGGGGGCAAGGTATCAAAAACCAAGCAGGCTCTCAATCGAAAGGGCTGAATGTTATTAACATCTATATGGAAGAAAACTGGAAACCAACCAAGTAGGCTGATGGACCTGAGAATAGGAGAATTCCAAAACAGTGACATCTGGAAAGAGCTTCAGGTTAATTTGAAAACAGCAAGTATTGGGAGGAACCTTCCCCACTCCAGTAACAACAGAGTGCAAGGGGCTGACTGTAAGAAGGCATGATGAGAACAGGGAAGTCTAACAGCTTTTGTGAAACTTCAAAACTGACTTTTTTTTCCTTTGGTTTCCCTAACTCTCAGGAAAAACTATTGGAAGCAGCTTCAAAATTTAGCAAGCTAGGGATAAAGGAGATAGGAGAAACTGTTCAAAAAAAAAAAAAGGAGAAAAAACAAAAGTGGAGATGGAAGTGAAACAGAGTTTAGAATGCTCACAAAGTCCCCACATTTCTAAACACTACATAAAAAAAAGTTCTATAAAGTTAGAAAAGCTTCTCTAAACCCCACATTTTTCTAAAGTTTGAAAAAAACTGTACCATATAAAAATGAACAAAAATGCATCAGGGTTAAATTCTGTACAAATTATTATAAGAAAACAAGAAAATAAGAGTATACCTAGCAATAAATATACCTACCACTCATAAAGATATGCTCAAGAGTATGACTGTTATTTCAGAATAAACTCAGCCCGGCATGGTAGCTCATGCCTGTAATTCCAGCACTTTCGGAGGCCGAGGCAGGCAGATCATTTGAGGTCAGGAGTTTGAAACCAGCCTGGCCAACATGGTGAAACCCCATCTCTGCTAAAAATACAAAAATTAGCTGGGTGTCTGGCTGTGTGCCTGTAATACCAGCTAGTCAGGAGGCTGAGGCATGAAAGTTACTTGAACCTGGTAGGCAGAGGCTGCAGTAATCTGGGATCATGCCACAACATTCCAGTCTGGGGAACAGAGTAAGACTGTCTCAAATTAATTGATTAATTAATTAATTTACAATTCACAAATCCACATGAGATGGTAGAACACAAGAAAGCAGATATAAAATAAAAAACATCACTTCAGATAGAAACAGAGAATAAAATAGAAAGAACACGAGAAACACATCAGAAAATTCCTTAAAAGAATAAATGGAGGAAAAAACAAAAAAATTGAAAAGTAATAAAAAGCATCTGAGAGACGGTTTCAAGTACTAATGGAGCAGACAAAAATGAGAAAACAGAAGTCTCTGAAGGAGGAAGCTGAAAAGAAACACTAAAAATTATAATTTAATAAAATTTTCTTAAAATGAAAATAAGAATTTAAAACTACATGTTGGAAAAGTGCAATACATATCTGAGAGTTTAGTACACAGTTGACCCAGCCACAAAACACTAAACTGAAACATAGTCTAACTTTTTTTTTTTTAAATTCAGGAAAAAAAAATCAGGGGTATGGGTTCTGGAGGTGATTCTAAAGGAAAAAAAAAATTTTGATCATTATCAAACTTTTTTATCAGCATCAATGTATGCCAGAAAAAAATGGGATCACGTATTTTATATTTTCACAGGGGAAAATTTTTTTTTGAGACAGGGCCTCTTTTGTCACCCAGGCTGGAGTGCAGTGGCACAATCTTGGCTCACTGCAGCCTCAACTTCCTGGGCTCAGGTGATTCTCCTACGTCAGTCTCCTGAGTAGCTGGAACCACAGGTGTACACCACCATGCCTGGCTAATTTTCATATTTTTTGTAGGAATGGGGTTTGTTCACCCATGTTGCCAGGCTGGTTTCTAACTCCTGGACTCAAGCAATGACCTTGTGTCATCCTCCCAAAGTGTTTGGATTACAGGCCTGAACCACGGTGCCTGATCAGCAAAGCTCCATAATATTAAAAGCAAAAAGTAGTATTATAAACTTGTAAGGACTCAGAAAACATTGTTGCCAGGAGCCCTTCCAGCGGAATCTGTGAGTGGATCAGATAGCTCTACTCACAAAATGACAAAATGTTAGTGGTAAACATTAAACACAGCTTCTTGTAGGTCCCCACTAAATGAGTGTTCAAGGGAAAGAGGTTCCATGTAATGATGATACACACAGGTAATGTAGCTCATGAGACCTAGTTGTACACATTTCTTTGCAATTCTGTTTTCAGAGATTTCACCTTGGTAACTTGAAATTGGCCATAGTGGGAATATTTACACCAAGGAGACCATCGAATGCTACAAAGCAGGGCTTTTTGCTTTGTTTTGTGTGTATAAATGTGGTTGCTCAAGATTTACTGTCTTGGTTGGGTTGGGCTGGGCTGCCATAACAGAATACCATAGACTGAGTGGGCTTAAACCACAGAAATGTATTTTGGGCCAGTTCTGGAGGCTGCAAGTTTAAGATTAAGGATTGTAGTAGTCAGGGCTTTCCCCTAGGAGTACAGACTGCAGCTGCCTTCTCGTTGTGTGTTCACATGGCATTTCCTCAATGTGTGTGTGTACGTGTGTGTCCTTGTGTGTTGCAAGGGTCACTTTCTGGTGTCTCTTCTCATTAGGACACCAATCATCTTGGATTGGGGCCTCATCTTTTTGACCTCACTTAATCTTAATTACTTTCCTAGAGGCCCCGTCTGGAAATACAGCCACATTGAGGGTAAGAGTTTCAACATCTGAATTTGCAAGATGGGGAACATTCAGTTCATAACATTTACCGGTTCACACTGCCAATACAGTACCTATTAGCATGCATAGTGCCTAGATTATGGTCTTGAAATACTGCATCCTGCTAAAAGGAGATCACAACTTCTTGGAGAAGTGGCTGATTTCAGGTTGAGACATAAATGTAAATTTCCAAAATGATAGACAACCAGACCTTATGGGCCTCATTTAGGAAGGACACAATACCAGTACTATTGCTGGCGGGATCAAACCTGAATCTGCTCAAGCCTCAAGTTCACCTACCAATTTGTAGAAAATACAGAGCCCAGAGGAACATATTTAAATGTACCATGAGTACGCAATCTGCAAAATCCAGAGACTGTGAGAAACTACAGATTAAACATTGTGTAGATAAAGAACAGGATGTATATTTAAAGGATACATTAAATCAAAATTTTAAAGTGGCACGGATAAAGGATGGTATTTTGAAAGACAAGTCTGGGCTAAAGCACACACACAGAGGAAAGTGATTACTATAAAAGTGAGGGTACTAATTGCATATAGGAAGGGAGAGGGTTGAAACTGGAGGGGACCACGGGAAAGGGGCCTCTGTAATGGTTGACAAGGCTGTATTTCTTGACCTCTTGGCTTCACCATACATCTGATTTGTGTGATTCATTTTGCGTTTTATTTTGTGATTTATTTTGTGATTATTGTGTGTTTTATTTTGAAATGGATTATTTTTAAAAGGAGCTAATTTCTCAAAATACATGAGGAATCTCCCAAAATATCTGGATAAGACGATGAAGAAATGTGATTATCAAACTAGAAACTAATACTCGTTGTAATTTCATACTTTAAATATAATATGCAATAACTAAGTTATTTAAATAAATATAAGATGCCAAAACAATTAACTAAAGTATTAAAACTTTCACCAAAGAATGTTTTTTGCAGGGCTTCAGATCTTGCCAAGCAGTAATCTAAGTGAATTTCATCAATGAATTTTTTTGTTGAGTTGGCTGAATTAACTATTGTCTGTCATATTTGAGACAAAGACTTGAAACATCTGAGACAAAGGACTTGACTAAATCGCCTTGATAACAGTATCTACACTGTGGTTTTTTGAAGTGAATACCATACAGAAATGGCAAGAATTAATGTGATAACATATAAAAATTGGTAACATTTTTAAAAGCCCTTATTATAAGAAAGTTCTCACAAAGTTCACTCAACAAATACCTTAATCTACAGTTCTTCAATGAGGTTTATCCAAGCTCCAAGAACAGACCAGGCTGAGATGGTTACCATCCCCACATCTGAGGAGAGTATTTACACCTGCATGGTGATTTATTACTTGGGATTATATTTGTGGGTCAAGTCAAACAGTAATTCACGTGTTTCCTTTCCTTTCATTCGTCCAGCCGTCTTCATCCCTATTCCTGTGTGCAATGGTCTCGCTGCCAGGCAGGTATGGAAGTTGAACTTAAGTTGTATTTCTGGGATTGAGGGAGGAAGGGCAGTGGTCTACCATATAAAAGAATTAGAGCAACCAGGTCACCTTGAAAGCACCAGAGAGAAAAGGCATCTGGCTTTGAAACTATTAGCCTCAGGGGAGAGTATCCTTAGGTTAACAGTTGTGAACCCTTATTAGGGATCACCTGGAATCCAGATCACAGAGGTTAGGAAGCATATTAGCAAGAGGAGTCTTATCTGGGGGCAAACTACTTTGTGGAGTCTTTCAAGTTCCCCAATGTCTTACCCTGGAAAACTTTATGAAGCAATTTATATAATTCAGAGCCCTCCAGAATTTAGGATTTTGTATTATTGTGGATATTTGATCATATTTAGCCTGTATATTTCCTCCAAGTTTCTCTTCATTATATCCTGCTTTGGTCCCCATTCTTGGAAACCATAAATTTATTCTTACCTTGTAACTTTGATTTTTAAATAGGCTTCACCCACTTAATTATTGCCTATTCATGTTGTGTTTACTTAGCTTTGCTTTTTCTAAGTCACCCTCATTATTGCCTTAATCAGGACCCTGTGCTCCTGTGAATCACCTACCTACTAATGTCATCACTGATAGTAAAGTGCCAGAACTCAGGGATAATTATTGTTTTGCATTTATATTATTATTACTTTGCATTTACATAGCCTCCTTCTTCATATGGTATTTTATTGACAGTCTTTTTCAATTCTCATTGAGCATATTAAAGAAATCAGAGCATTGTGTAAAGAAATGAAAGAAGAGATTTCATGGAAAATTTGAATTCATTTCTTCATTTTTAGATGAGAAAATTGAGTCCAAGAAGGGCTGACTGAATTGCTCAAAGATACTTGTTTGTAGCAGAGCCAAAAAAAAAAAAAAAAAAAAAAGAAGAAAAACATTTTCCTGACTTGGCCACCACAAATTAGTTTTTGAAATAATGCAATATATAAATACATTAATAAATAAAGAATAAATTATGACTCGCAATCTTTAGTAACAGCTATACAATTGTGGCTACTGTTTGCTGAATAAGACATTAACATGACATCCTCTGAGGACAGCTATTACCTGAATGTGTTCACTCTGGGTACCAGAGGCTTGATGGGTGACTTCTCTCAGACAGAGATACATATCTGTAACATATCTCACGATGAGGAACAGAATAGAGAATGTCTCACTTTAACCCTGTCCAGACTGAGTTTCTTCTGTGTCCCATGGCACTCTGTCCGGTGTTGCCTTTCTACAGCAGACTTCTTAATACTATATGCAAATAATGAGAATCAACTGTACTGACTTGGCTATTGCTAGTGATTTAGCGTCTTTAAAACTGCTTCCCCATCCACAAAATGACCACCGTGGTACTTACCTCCCGGGATTGCTCAAAGGATTAAACATCATAGTATTTGTTGATACATGCCTTCTTCAACTCCACTTGTCTTCTTCCTGAACCCTCTTACACTATCATCTTATACTGGTGATTTTTTTTTTAACTCTGCAACCCCATGCTTCAAATAATTGCTACCGGTAACGTATTTTATCTTTGCTGGAATGTCTGAAGCCGCTGGAAATTATAGAACTTCCAACTCTGTCATGTCAAGTACTATGAAAGTTAATAGGATTAATTTATCTTTAATAAAAGTAATGTAAAGTAAATGTTTGTTTTAGGAAAACATTCCTGAGAGTTGTGTTTTAATGAGAACTTGGTCAATAATATTTGTTTCTGGATAGAATTGTACCATTTTTTTCTTTTTTTTTTTTTTTGAGACGGAATCTCGCTCTGTTGCCCAGGCTGGAGTGCAGTGGCGTGATCTCGGCTCACTGCAAGCTCCGCCTCCTGGGTTCACGCCATCCTCCTGCCTCAGCCTCCAGAGTGGCTGGGACTACAAGAGCCCAACACCACACCCGGCTAATTTTTTGTATTTTTAGTAGAGACGGGGTTTCACCGGGTTAGTCAGGATGGTCTTGATCTCCTGACCTCATGATCTACCCGCCTCGGCCTCCCAAAGTGCTGGGATTACAGGCGTGAGCCACCACGCCCGGCCTTTTTTTTTTTTCAGTTCTTTTATTTGCCTAGCATGATTTGCTGCTTCTTTGAGGGCAGTTTTGAACCTTCGGTTTCAATGGGACTGGGTCTGGCTGATGACTAACAGATGTGTGTCTGAGAACAGATAAGGGGAACATAATCGCTCAACTCCTAGAAATCCCTGAAGATGAAACTAGATCTAAAGCTTAAACAAAGAGCAATTTCCTACCTACCATTCCTTGGAGAACTGATTTGTGAGATGTTAGCATCTGGCTGAATACTTAGTAGCAGCTAATTTCAGGGAATCTAAAGCCAGAGAGATTCAGGTTGAAGGACTTGTGGGATAGTTTCATAAGTAGCATAAAAGAAATATGATCAGCTAGAATTCCATCCAATTCAATAATTTTCTAGTGCTGTACAATTGTTTTTTCAAAAAATTCTGTTTTCAAAAAGTGACCTTAGATAGTACTTCAAAAGACCATACATATATGGTAATATTTCCTTTTAGATTTAGTAATTTTCCTGAATTATTACACATTAAGGTCTGTTTTTTCCTAGGAAAAAAATTGGGGATCAGGAAGTTTAAATATGGTCTAAAGCAAAGCATGCACACAGTGAGTTTGAACTCAGTATCAATATACATTTTGAGATCCTAAAGTTTCCTTTGTACATTTATAACTTGCCAGGTATTTAATAGATCACACACTGAATAGAGATGACTTCCTTCACCTTACACCTTATATTTAAATATAAACATATTCACTAAACATATTCTGTAAGACTTTTATTATTGTAACTGTGAAAAGAGTGAGTTTACCTTTGACCAGTCAAAACCTTCACCTCTTTGAGATGTCTAATTTAATCAAATTCTGCAAATGAAAAACTAGGACTTTAATTAGACTGACTATAAGCACAGAGCATGGTTTGGTGGATATGAGGCCATGAGTTGATCACTGGGAAACCAAGGGTCTTGACATGTGATTTACATGTATATGCATACATGTGTATATGTGTAGGACAAAGGAGAGAATGAATTTCTAAAGAAATGGGATGAATGATGTGTGAATCATGGCAAGAATCATGAAACATGAATCATGAAACTGCAAGGTTGAATCTGAAACAGAAGTGTCCAATAATGAAACATTTAATATAGAATGATCGTTAAGATTCCTTAGTATTTTTATAGTGAAGTGGTACCAACTGTTTGTACCATTTGGAATTCTGGTCAGAGTCACAGTAGAGCATTGGCATTTTTGTCTGTTTGATTTGAGGGTCTTTTGGGAGATACATGAAAGTTCTGTTGGATTGTAGTCATGCTGACCATTCTAGGCTAATATATCAAATCATGTTAAGGAAAGTTTCAGGACTTCTTATATAGAAATCATGTTTTATGGGATTTCGGTGAGACTAGAATGTTTCAGTTGCCACTGAAGAAATACTTTCAAAAGTCATTAATGCCTGTGTCCTTTCACTGGATGGAATGTGCTCTCAGCAAAACTAAGGATTCAGCATCAGTAACTATGGCTTAGGGTGGAGCAAGTATACAATGCCTTCCTAATTTTAGAAATGTTCTTCATTTATCAGTCAGCCAGAAGGGTTTTAAATGTATCCACTTTGTTGTAAATTCAGTATCAAGCAGACTAGAAATCTTATAAGAGAAATAGAACACAGAGTTGTTACCATAAAAAAAGTTTACTAAAGTAATTGAATGTTACATAGTTAAGGATGAAAAATTTTAACTAAACAAAGTCAACTTGAATCTTAATTTCTAATGAAATCATATTAAATGTCCACCCAAATTTCAATACTATTTCCCAATATAGTTTTTTTTTAATTTCCAGGTATTTTTTGTTTACCTAGTACCCTCTGGTTTAGATTTCTACTTCCTGCAAAATTTTCGTTATTTAATTTACAACATGCTAGTGTAGGTTTTTGATGATCTGGTGTCACCATTTTTGTGCTACAGCTTTTCTCATTACTCTGAGCATATGCTGAGCAAAATTCACAGGAGGTTTTACTTGAGTTTAAAATAGGGTAACATCATAGATCCATAGAGTATATGAATTAAAATGGAATATTAGATACAACTAGGTAAGGACAGTGGACTGAGCATTTGCATTTATCTCTTTTAAAACCATACTAAATAAGAGTAGTAGGATTTTTTTGAAACAATGTAAACTCACAAGAAAAAAATGAGAAATAATAGCAATATTTTAAAATAAACTTTATTTATTAGAAGAGTTTTAGACTTATAAATAAATTATAAAAATAGTACAGAGATTCTCATAGGCCCCATACCAAGTTTCTTCTATTATTAATATGTTATATTAATATGATACATTATTACAATTAATTGACCATATTAATTTATTGTCATTAGAGTTCATACTTCATTCAGATTTCTTTAGTTTTTACCTATTTGTTCCTTTCCAGGATTGCATCCAGGATATCACTGTATTTAATAATGTATTTAATAGTCATGCCCCCTTAGGCTCCTTAGGCTCCTTAGATTCCTCTTAACTGTGATAGTTTCTTTTTGTCTTTGGTAACTTTGATAGTTTTGAGAAGTACTGGTCAGGTATTTGGTAAAAGCACGTTTGTCAATCAGTATATTTTCCTGATGCCTTTTGATTTTGTAAATAGATGTTGAAGAGGTAAAGGGTCATTTTCTCCATATTATATCCAGTGTATATATTATCAACATGACTTGAGACTGTTAAAGTCGACCTTGATCACTTGGCTGAGGTAGTGTTTGTGAGGTTTCTCATCCATCAAGTTATTCTTTTTTTCCCTGTTATGTCATCCTCCTTGGAAGGAAAGCAATAACATTTTGTGAGCTAGGAAGCCAACAAAGAAATGGCCACTGGTATAGCAGACTGGAGCCAAGAATGACAAAAGTGCTAGGGCTTTTAACAATGACTATGCAAACTTTTATAGAATTATCTTTTTTCATGTGGTATTTTTCCATTATCCAACTTGGAATGGAAGTCCAATGAGAAAATTCAAGACAGAATTTAACTTGAATTGTTGAAATTCCAAAGGCATCATGATTTGGAAGCAGGCTTATGGTGTGGCTGTTAATGAAGATTCTTCAAAAAGGAATTAGATTCCCAGATAGCTTCCCTTGCTCACCACAACTGGGTAATTTCCCTCCTGCAGCCAGCAGAAAGTTAGAAGTTAGGACTTTTGTTTGTTGGTTTTTATTTACTATGTTCTTCTGGGAAGTCTAATATAGTAGGACTTTGACATTAGGAAAAGTTGGGTAATAGAAAAATACCACATGAAAAAAGAGAATTCTAAAAAAGTTTGCATAGTATGGTTAAAAGCGTTAGCACACTTGTCTTTCTTGGCTTCTAAAATACTGACAGTTGTGCTTATACCCTCTGATTAAGAGTTTGGAATGTCCTTTCTTGATCTGTCCAGCCAGCCTAAAATAAAAAATCTAAAGATACTAAAATTGCCCAATATATGACACAGCCCTATTAATTTGTAGTAAAGCTTATAATTTAGAAGTTCTGTCTTTGTGCAAAGGGTTCCAATCACCTAAATAAGTGTAGAGCACAAAAGAAGCAAAAACAACTTAATATGAAACATGGAGGAAATATTAATTTATCAAAGAAATAAGAGGAATACTTCAACCACACAAGATGCTATTAAAAGCAACAACCATAAAAAAGGAAAAAAATACAAACGGCAAAAATAAACTTTTGAAAAAGGAGAAATAAAGAACTAAAGTAAAAAGTTTAGTAAGTAAGGTTGAGGAACTTTTTCAGAGAATATATATATATATATGCACATATATATGCGCATATATATATTTGCACATATATATATATATATATATATATATATATATATATATATATATATATATGCAAGCAACGAAAAAGCAAGAAGACATAAGAAAATTAGTGGCTCATTCTAGGAAGTTGAACATATAAGTGATGGACATTCCAAGTCAAGAAAACAGGAAAATATTAAGAAGAAAACCATTAAAGAAATCAAGAAAATTTTCCAGAGTTTCCAGACAAAAAGGGCCCATTTAGGGCTCAGCACAGTGCATTAAAATATCACTAACTCACATTACACAGACATTTTAGATAACTGGGGAAAAAAGAAATATTCTTATAACTTTCCAGAGAGGAAGAAAAGAAAGCTGTCTACAAGCGATTAGGAGTCAGAATGGATTCAGATATCAGCTTGCACCGGAAGCTGGAACATAAAGAAGAAATATCTTCAAAATTCTGACGAAAATTGTATTTCTGAAATACAATTTTATCCAACCAAAACTATTAATTAAATGTGAATGAAAGTAGAGTAGAGGCATTTTTCAGAGAAGAAAAGCGTCCAAAAATTTAGCTTCTGTGCATCCTTTCTTAGGGAGCTATTAAAGGATATGTTTAAAAACAACAATAACAAAATTGGAAAAAATATAAACAAAACTTTTACTTGAATAATCAATTTCTATATTTATAAAAATGTCCCTTCATCATCTTTATCAACTTGACCTCTTGCCATGTGGCATTAGCATCCCCTTTTTCATTCTGACCTTCTACAAGCCATGTTCATTCATTGCATTTATTCCAGCCATGTTCCATGGGCCTCACTAAATAGTCATTGAGGCTTGTCACAACTCCAGTTTATTGTTTTATGAGACTTTGCATCATCTGGCAAAATAACACTTTTAACCTCAGTCTGCTACATGTATCTACACAAGTTAAATACAGAATCAGTTATTTATGAAGATATATAAAAGAGATTGGTTCAGAGTTTCGATGGTGGACAGAGATTCTTTCCTTTTCATAGTCAATGGAGATTTACCATAGAAATTTACTTATTCAATTTACTCATTCTCATAGCACTTACTAACCTCTATGTGTCAATCAATTTCAAAGGCACCTGGAGTGTGAACGTAGATGATATAGGTATATGACATGAAGAGTTCAGAGCATAGAAGCGAGACAGAGTACACATCAATATTAACATAGTATAGTGTATACAATAAAAAAGTGTATGAGGTTACAGTGGAGAAGCATAAAGGAGAAAAGGATCTTCTCAAATTCAGGTGTAGAAATCATTAGGAAAGACTTTACAGAGAAACACTTGCAGGGAGTTTGAAGAATGAGCAGCGATTTGCCAGACAAATAAGGAAGAAAACTTTGAGAAGAAAACTTGCACAAAGGCAGGAAACAAGTTCTTTATTTAGACAATCACAAGGAATTTCACATAGTTCTTGCACACAATTTGTATGTTCATATGATTTGAATGGGATTAGGACAAGGAAGAAATGACAATAGATTTGGAGATGTTTATATTGACCCTACATCTGTAAATGTCCTGAAAAACTCATACAAAATGGACAATCCTTAAACTAAGCCTTAGATAGCTAACGTTTCAATGTAGTTATGTAGTTAAATCATTTATCTAGACCTCCTTTGATGAATCCTAACCTGTACTGATTTCGTTTATATCCATCAAGTATTCTTAATTATTGGTTCCATTCTCTTTTAACTTGCATAACATCTGTTTCCTTGTTAATTTTTAGCTGTTTGTAACAAAAAATAAAAATAAAAATAAATAAAAAAATGCTCTTATACAGTTAGACCTCTGTATCTGTGGTTCTGCATTGGCAGATTCAACCAGCCCTGGATCAAAAATATTTAAAAAATAAATAAAATGAAAATACAACAATAAAAAAAAACACAGTATAACAACTATATAACTAGCATTTACATTGTATTATGTGTTATAAGTACATCTAGAGATGATTTACTACATCACTTTATATAAGAGACTTGAGCATCACAGATTTTAGTATCCATAGGGGTCCTGGCACTGATCCCTAGGAGATATGGAAGGAAGGCTGTACTCTCCTGGAACTCCTAGAGTCAAGGTATCTTGGTGATGCTTTTCACCATTGCATGTTTAAGCTAGGGGACTCATCAGTTTTAAGCTTCCACTTTTTTGATATTAAATCTGACAAAGCAATTGACACTGATCTATATGAAAACCATACATAAATATTTAAAATTACTACTGTGTTTTCATTGCATGGATACCAGTAGCACACTGGGCCATTCTGAGTGTGAAATTACATTTCCAATTTTACCTACAGGACCAATATTGGTTTAGATAAGTGTTCTTGTTTTTCTATGCATTGCTATTTTCAAATTTCAAAAATGTATTATGATAACTTGTGAACTTTCCAAAATAAAACAAAATTCAAAAGCTCTCAAATAGTATTACACATAGTTTCAGTGCCAAAGCTGATATCTAAACAATTTTTTTCAGTGGAAATATCTTTAATATGATTAATCAAAATGACTGTCTTGCATTTTTAACAATCCACAGACTAAAGTGTACATTAATTGTCTTTTTAAAAGCTAAGTTCACTAAATCAAGAGAGTTTCTAGCTAATTGAAAGCACTCATAAGAATCATGAAATATCATTTGACAATATGCTTTGATTCCTCACAAAAATAATCTTTTTAAAACAGTATAAAAGATTTTGAAAGATAAAGGTTTTTTACCATTTCTATAATAATGCCCAATGAAGTCATCACCTCCACTGCTATTTTAAGGAGCCTGTTTTTGTTTCAGGATCTGAAGTCATGGGTGAAATTAGTGTAGTTGCATACTCTTCATTTGGTGAAAGACTAATAAAAAGTAATTGATTGATGAAGAGTCAAAGCAGCTTTCCCCTCCAGGTTATGTTTATGCTAAAACATTCAATGGAAAAAATACAACTACTCTGTGGTCACATGACACCCATGCAAAAAAATTAAACTCAAGTGATTTAAAAATAAATCTTTTTATTTTATCAAAATTGAGTCAAGTTGATTCATATGTGTAGCTATCTTCAGAATATAAGAATGCTTATCCTTCATAATGATGCATCTGATTATTGCAATATTAGATCACTTTGTTACCTCCCAAGCTGTATCATAACTTTATATCAAGCAATTACCATATGTAGGGTTTAAATTTTGCAAACCTTGTGAATTTATAAATGACAGAGTCATCTATAAAGGCTACATAAAAGGGAACATTTAAGAATTGTCCCAGCATTTTAAAGATAATTGATTAGTACAATTATTTATATCAGAATTTTGAAATGCTGAATTTTTGAATTTCCATGTTACAAACTTTTATATTACTTTTTATAACTATACACTTTTTAAAAGGATTTATTGTAGACTGAACAATATATTGGATAAGAAAATAGTCTCTGGAGCCACCTGCCTGGTTTTGAATGCTAGCTCTAACACTTTCTAGCTGTTTGACCTTGAACAAAGTATTTAACTTTGCTTTGCTTCAGTTTCTTCATTTGTAGAAAAATGGTTGTAATAGTCATATTTGCTGTACAGTGTTGTTCTGAAAATTGAGTGAATGCTTGTAAAGCACCTAGGACAATTACTAACACATAGTAAACACTATAGTAGTGCTTTCCTTAACATAAATAAATGAATAAATTTTCAGTAAAAAAAATTCTCACAATATTAAAAATATAAAGAGGTGATAGCTATGAAGCACAAATCAAAAAAATCTCACTACCAAGAAATAATCCTTGCTAATATTTTATGGATATTATTTCAGTATTTTCTCTTTGAATATACTTAAAAAGAATAATAGATCAATACTTAGAAATGAAAATAATTTTATGACATTATTTTACATGCTTTTTAAAACTTAAAAAGCATTATATTTTATTTAACTTGAATTTAACAAATGAAAAGAAAGCAAAAGTGGACTTGAGGGAGTTGGTGAATGTCATATAAATGTTTCTTCGCCATGAATTAATACCTTATACAGAACTTCTCTGCATTTAAGAAAAGAGATTTCAAAGATCATTAGAATGTTAGACTCTTTGTTCTTCTTTTACTTTTTTTTTTGAGAAGGAGTCCCGCTCTGTCACCCCGGCTGGAGTGCAGTGGCGCGATCTCGGCTCACTGCAAGCTCCGCCTCCCGGGTTCACACCATTCTCCTGCCTCAGCCACCCCAGTAGCTGGGACTACAGGCGCCCGCAACCACGCCCGGCTATTTTTTGTATTTTTAGTAGAGATGGGGTTTCACCGTGTTAGCCAGGATGGTCTCAATCTCCAGACCTCGTGATCCGCCCGCCTCGGCCTCCCAAAGTGCTGGGATTACAGGCGTGAGCCACTGTGCCCGGCTGACTCTTTGTTCTTCTTAAACTCATGTTTTGAACTCTCTGCTGTGAAATGTGAGGTGGTACATTCTTATACATTCTTGTACCTCTTCTCTCACCAATACTTTAGTCTTGCCTTTTAGTAACATAACTGGAATTTATCTTGAAATTGACTAATACACCTTTGACTGGTGCATTCTGTTATCTTATGTTTTGCAACTTCAGTTCTCCCTTGTTTCAATGGCCATCTCTGATCACTTTTCCTGAAAGATGTGTTAGCAATTCTCTGTTTAAAATATAATGATTATCTTCATGCTGAGTCATCCCTCAGTTTGTCTATTCTAGCCCTCAGTCTGCTCTAGCAATTTTAATCATTTTAATTTATTTCCCTTTTTCTTCTGAAATCACTGAGATTACTTTAACTTATTTTCCACATCATTTATTTGATTTTTGTAAGCGTCTATTTTTTCCTGTTTGTAACTTATGTAATATATAATGTGTGTTTTATTCTCAACATATTTCCTGAGACTTCTCTTGCTTGAGTTATCTTTTCTTCCAGATTGGTTCTTCATTTCTTTTTTTGATCAAAATTTTATTTTAATTTATTAATTATTTTTGCTATGCTCTGTATGTAATTGCCATGCCATTTATTTTCATCTTGTCCTTAATCTAGCAGCTCTGACTGTAGAATATCTGTTTGCTCTGATAAGACTATAGGTAAATTCTCCTTGACACAGTTCCCATCTTAGGTGTAACAAGTTTATCATCCTCCTTTTGAGCTGCAGGAGCAAGAGCTGGATGTTGCTTTCAAGACACTGTTCTGGAGTGTAAGGGTTCATGAGTGAGGAGACCAAGTGGTAGATTGATGCTAGAGATCCAGTATCTGCTCTCTCTTCTGAGCTCCTATTATATGTCTCTCCACCCAGTGCTTCCTGAGTGTGTCCAACTTGGAACAGGTCCTAACAGCTGCCAAGTCCTAGTTAACATTCCTTTTACTATTAAGACTCTCCCCTGACAGGTAAGGTCTTCTCGTTTTCAGGGGACTGCTTTATTTATTTAGAGTTTTTTTTTTTAAATTTCCTGCAAATTAAAGGGCATTCATTAGAATTCACAGAATTTTATCAATTAAATTTTTCATTTAGCACTGTTTCTGGAAGTGGGAGTGACAGTGTTGAAATATGGCATGACCCAGTTTTATTATTTCCTCTTATGGCCGTAATTGTAAGCTTTTGCCATAAGATTTCTTTCCTTTCTTGGTTTAGTTGCTATACATATTTTTTAAACTGTATATATGTTTCAATCAAGGGAAGTTCTGTAATCCTAACTTATTTTTGTAATCCTAATCCTACTTCTTTTAGTCCCATTTCTTTTTCATTTAATTATTTCTTAATTTCTTTTTTTTTAATTTGGCCCTGCTCTAATATAGCCTGGAACCTGACCTATTTGAAATGAAATTTGTAACTAGACTTCATAAGTCCTGAATCTAATGATTTATGATGATACAAGGATACTGCTTTTAGCCAAAAATACAAACAACCTTGAACCTGAAACACTTGTGAATTCCTAGCAACACTTCCGTGACAACCTTATAATAATCTGTTACAATACTGCCTGATCATGGGGGTACTGGGCTGCTGAGGTGTCCGTGAGAGATTTTTTTTTTCCAGCAAGACAATTTTTATCATCACTACATGCTTTGCAGTATACTAAGTGCCACTTCAACTCCAATGATTTTAAACACTGGCAAAGATAACTTTTGGAAAACAATTCTGGATTTTGATTACATACTTTTAGTGATTAGACTTCCAGAAAAGTAACAGAGTGTTATAACAGAGAAGTTAGCTTGTTGTGTTGTTTTTGTCAGATAGACCTGGATTTGAATCTTGGATCTATTAGCTGTACAATCCTTTGTATATTATTTAATCTCCATTTTTAATATGACGTAAACAACATAATGATATTTATAAGAATTAGGTGAAATTAATTGCATACCATACTTAAAACATTGCAGGTGCCCAATAAACATTATCTAATGGTTTGTTTATCACTCTTTAGGACTGACGATTTTCTGTCAATTCTACTATGATATTATAGAGAAATTCAGGGGTTGATGTTTTCTCTCTCATCTGTTTTTGGCTGTTTTGTAATAGACATCCTGGAATAGGTGAGAACAAACATTCTAGATTTGACCTATTCTTCTGTCTAATCACCTTGCAGTCACAGGCATTCTCAGGACCAAAGTTGCCAGTTGCAGTTTGATGTACTCTCCATATCAGCTCTTGCTCTTAAAGGAGTAGCTAAGAGTATAATAGTTAAGGACCCAAACTCTGGAATCAGATCTCATGAGTTTCAACATAGGTCCCACCTCTTTGTACTTTGATCAAGTTACTTCTGCATTCTGTACCCCAAATTTTTCATCTATACAATGTAGAGAGTAATAGTTATTAACTGACATGGTTTTTAAGGGTACTAAGTGAGCCAATCCATGTGAAGGGCTTAGAATAACATGTGGCATAAGGACACATTCAATATGTGTTATGGTCTCTTACTAAAGGCATACCGATGTTAAGACTTAGTTCAATGCTTTCCTCTTAAAATTTCCTTGACTATCCATTTCTATAGGTAGAATTAACTGCTCTCTCTTTTGTAGCCCCATTTAAGAGAGCATCTGCTGCTATGATAACATAGTTCACATTTTATGACACTTTGAAAATTGCCTGCTTTTTCCTTCTATATAACTGCATATCCTAGAGAGCAAATATCACACATTCATTGGTGGATCTTCAACGTTTGACCGTCGAGTATCCACTAGGTGCTTACTAAGAGCTGTGTAGTGCTTAAGAGTGAGACTGTGGAGTCAGACTGTGTTGGTTTAAATACAGGTATCGCTTCCTACTGACCATGTGATTATAGCCAAAATATTTAATCTGCCTGTGTCTCAGTCTCCCATTTGATAAAATAAGAATAATTATGTATCTGCATCACAGGGTTGTTATAAAAATGAAATTAATACATACACATACAGTGATTAGAACAGGATATGGTCTATGATGAGCACTCAATAAATACTAGTTTTTAAAACGATGCTGTAAAATTGAATCAAAAAAGAAAAATAATAAACAATGGCATGTTCTTATACACAAATACCAAAAGTTTCAAGCCCTAATGGTGATGGGACTATTAGAAGTGATTTGTTGAAGAACAAGTAGAGATCTTATATTTAAAAGAAATTCTTTCCAAATCTTTTAGCCCCTCTGAAAAGAAGCAACTCTCTATTGTTTAAAAATTATGTGAATAAAGGCAAATTAGGTACATGTCTTGATATACTTTCTTCTGTGTACTCTCTGAGCACCCTAAAAATGTTAAGGCTTTCGCCTGAATCCTCTACTAGCATTAGGTTCTCCTAATATCAAAACTTAAACATTTTCCTAGAGACATTAGTTTCTTCCATTGCATTCTTTACTGACTTCACAGATTGGGCCTTACCCAATGAAGAGACCCACTGGCTGTTTCAGTTTGTTGAGCTTTAATTTCATGGTCTACTAGGAAGAAGATTCTTTGATGTTATTCCTAGTAGCCAGTGGAACAGGATGAAGCAGGGTGAACAGAGCAATAGAGGAAATTTATGTTGACTTGTAATTTCTAATAGCTGGCAGTTTGTGAGTTTGTGGCAAACACTAATAGACAATTCCCTAGTGGAACAACTTTAATCAAAAAAAAAAAAAAAACAGTCCGATTTTTTTTCCTCCTTGTCCCTATTCAATATGTATTTATTTCTCCTAGTATCAATGAATCAGAATTGAGAATATTGCAAGTTTTAAAATCTAGTAATTTCATATTGCAAATTTCTTTATCTTCTTTCTCTTTCTTTCTTCTCTTTCTTTTCTTTCCTTTCTCTTTCTTTCTCTGTCTCTTTCTTTCCCTCTCTTCCACCCTCCCTCCCTTCCTTCCTTCCTTCTTTCCTTCGTTCCTTCCTGCCTGCCTGCCTGCCTTCCTTCCCTCCCTCCCTCCTTCTCTCCCTCCCTCCCTCCCCCTTGTCTCCCTCTCTCTCTCTGCATGTTTTTAACTGAATGAGCCTATAAAGGTGAGTTATCTTCAGGATATGGATGATACCATTTATCTCACTGCCCCCAGCACTTAGCATGATATCTGACATAGAATAGACACACTTAGTAAATGCTTATCAATTGAATGTATACACTTTTTCTATAAGAGTATACATTCCTACTTACCTATTATTTATTGAACACTTGACATGTTCCAAGCCAAGTGGTAAGCAATTTCTCTTGTATACCCATTCAGTCATCGTTATAACCCTCCCATAAATTGATTGTTAGCTTCTTCTTATAAAAAATAGAAAAATAGACCATATGATTTAAAATAATATCCCCCAGGACACAAGTCATAAATGAAAATAGTTATAGAAGCCATGATTTTTTTCATTCTTTCTAGAATACAAAACAACTTCGTCTATGTGTAGAAAAGGTAGGCTCAGTTACATGACTTAATTACACAGGTGAATAAACAAAAACTGTGAAACATGCGATATACCAAAGTGGTAGAAATCAGCACTGTGTGTATGTGTGTGAGTGTGTGTATGTAGGACTGCACGTATACTCACATTTAGGGGAGTGGGTTATGGAAAGTAAAAAACCAAAGCTGAACCAGAGGGAGGGACTAGTTGGCAAATAATGAATGATGATGGATATAAAGAATGAAGCTTAATCAAGATCTTAAATTCTAGGCTGAATAGTTCATGTTTTATGAGAAAAAAAAAATAGCTCCAGGATGGATTTTTTCAGTAATGCATAATTTACCAGAGGAATGTTCTGATTCCGATGCACAGTAGTCTTTTAGATGAAACTTTTTCATTCAGCTACTGCTTGACCTTGGTTTCCTTCTGGTTCATTGCAGTTGTGCTACTTCTAGCTCGTAGCACTGTGCTGACTTAACGTAGAGGTCTTCCTTCTCTTGCATATCATTATTTTTAGTATTTAGCAAGTTTTTACATACGTTTGGCTGATATCTACTTGAGTTTGCATTTCCAGAGCATAGACATGAGCAATCAGCAGTCCCTAAACCACTGTCTCAGGAACTTGCTATGCACACAGCTCAGTGAGCTGGAAGAATTTCCTGGAGGACTAGAAGCATATTGTAAGACCAGCTTTCAGGATTCTTATGGTTTCTCATGCATTCCTGAGTAAAATAGACTGTAAAAAGTTCTCACAAAATACAACCTTGCTTCACGCCTTTAGGGAGGTTATAACCTACTGTAATTACAATTAGCAAACCATACATCATGCCTCAAATCTAATAAACAGAAAGGCAATTACAGAAACCCAGGGCTTAAAATTAAGGCTCAAGTGTTGTCTCACCAAAACTAATTGTCATCATAGGAGGGATTTTGAGTCCACAGATAACCTAACTGTTCACCTAAGAAATCCGACCAAGCAAAATCCCTATAAATTTTCTTTTCTGTTGTTACTGTTTAACCAAAGTCCAGATGAAACTCTAGGATACTATTATAGCTATCCACGATTTAGGCTTTCTGGTCCTATTACTTACCACGTTCCCAGTAATGCTGTATGTAGGTTTTCTTAAGTTCTGTTCTGTTTTTTGCTTTAATATCGACGCTCATGCTGTCCTGTCTACTGGGAATATTCTTTCTTCTCCTTGTTCTCTCAGATTCAACTCAGTTTGTCATCTGATATGTCCTCTCCTAACCCAATAGTTGGTTGTCACTGCTATGCTTGTAATGGTCAGATGCTGTAACTATTATTTGTGTGTTTTTCTCCTTTACCAGGTCTGAGTCTGTATCTTACTCATATTTTTAACACTCAGTACCTAAAACAATCCTGTTTTTAGGCACAGTCTAGGGGCTCACTAATTGTTTTGTTGAGTGATTAACTTGAGGCAGTCCCCAGTGCAAAAGGAATGCCAACATAAATATTCAATGAAACATTTCTGTGGGACTTAATGAAGAAAGGAAGCTTTCTGCTCCATCTTAACCAACAGATCCCAAAGATCCATCAGGGAGACAGCAAGGTATGATGCTTATACAGCAGAACAAGGTCTTTGCAATTTGTGAGTTTCTAGAGAAGAATAGTATAGACAAAATAGACATAGATAAGGGTCAAATACCCGAAGAATTGGTCAAGACACCAGCATTTATTCTGGAAAATAAGATCTAAGTCTTAAGGACACTGATACAACATTTGTGTATGATAACTGTGAAATTCAGGTTCTTGAAAAAACTCAGGGTAAAAGAACCTGCCAGTAGTTAGCTGAGGGACATGGATGCTGAGGCAGCATATGGGTGAAAGGTGGATTCAGCACATTTTTGAGGACAGATATTTTTGAAGGACCAGTGTCCTCACCCTGAAGATTCTATCAGGTTAAAAACTGTGGCAGTTCTTCAGCCGAAATCTGACAGGGTCAGGGAAGGTAGAATATGCCAAGCTAGGAAGGGAGAATAACTGATTAAAACCAAAATAACATTGTAGGAATCTATACTGAGAACTCTAGGGCAATATGAATCCCAAACGCAGACTTTAATACCAGTGTGGTAAGGCTGTGATATAGTTTGGATCTGTGCCTCCACCCAAATCTCATGTTGAATTGTAATCCTCAATGTTGGAGGCGGGGCCAAATGGGAGGTGATTGGATCTTGGGGGTGAATTTCTCCTGAACGGCTTAGAACCACCCTCTTGGTGCTGTTCTCGTGACTGTGACTGACTTCTTGTGAGATCTGGCTGTTTAAAACTGATGGCAACCCCACGCTCTCTCTCTCTTGCTCCTGCTTTTGCCATGTGTACTGCGTGCTCCTGTTTTGCCTTATGCCATAAATAAAACCTCCCTTAGGCCATGCCAGAAGCAGATGCCACCATGCTTCCAGTTTAGCCCACAGAACCATGAGCCAAGTAAACATCATTTCTTATAATTTCTTATAGCAATGCCTGATTGGACTAATACAGGCTGTAATGGAGGTAGAATAAGGAAATCCAGATTCCAGAAAATATTCTCATGTGGTAATTTTCTGGGGACCAGCAATATAATTGCTGGACATGTGGAAGTGAGTAGGACTCTGGATAATGCAGGTAATAAATACGGAGAAATACTCGAAGGGATACAACTGGATAGGTTAATTCAATATGTGCTAGAGACTGTGGAGATTGATGAGAAGCTCCTTTCACTGCTGTGTTGTCTGAAACATGAGGATAATTTGTTTTCGTCTTCCTTGAGTTTCTTAAATGAATGATGAAAAACCCCAACTAGCTTCAGAGCCAGGTGATGAGAGAAGCTTCCAGCCAAACAACTCTATCATGACATGCAAATTATTTGAGAAGACACTGTGACATAGATGATCTTTTGTGATAAATGTGGGAAGAGACACAACTCTTAAGCTTGATGCTATAATCAGACATATAATTATTGGTTTAGTAAGGGTCTGTTGAAAAATGGGAACTCAATTAGTCGGGCATGGTGGCGTGTGCCTGTAGTCCCAGCTACTCGGGAGGCTGAGGCAGGAGAATGGCTGGAAACTGGCAGGTGGAGTTTACAGTGAGCCAATATTGTACCACTGCACTCCACCCTGGGTGACAGAGTGAGACTTTGTCTCAAAAAACTAAAAAAAAAATTAAGAAAGAAAAATGGGAACTCCTCACTCAATGACATGCCATTTGTATTGCTCTAGTTTTGACTTCGTCCTCACTTGCTTGAATAGCTAATGGACACCGTTTCTTCAGTCTATCTTCCCGTTCTAATTCATGCTTCTAATTTTTTTATTTATTTGTATTTATTTTATTTATTTATTTTTGAGACGGAGTCTTGCTCTGTCTCCCAGGCTGGAGTGCAGTGGCAGGATCTCCGCTCACTGCAAGCTCCGCCTCCCGGGTTCCCACCATTCTCCTGCCTCAGCCTCCTGAGTAGCTGGGACTACAGGCGCCCGCCACTGCGCCTGGCTAATTTTTTTAATATATATTTTTTAGTAGAGACAGGGTTTCACCATGTTAGCCAGGATGGTTTTGATCTCCTGACCTCGTGATCCACCCACTTCGGCCTTCCAAAGTGCTGGGATTACAGGCGTGAGCCACCGCGCTCGGCCTCATGCTCCTAATTTTTTTCACATCTTTTGGGAATCTAAATTTACTCTACTGTCTAAAATCTGATAACAGAATGATTTCTAATTTTTTAAAACATTACTTGTTAATTAATATAATGTGCTGAGTAAATAAATACTGCTACTTATCACTTCCCTACTTCCTCGGACTAGTGGTTTTAATTTATTCCCCTATGGAAAATGAAAAAGTCACAAACTAGAGGGAATCTTAGGTAAAATCTTAATTCATTACTGATAGTTTATACTTTGATATGCTCCTAGAAATTCTATGTAGCAAAATTCACAGAAAAAAACAACACACATAGAAAATGCTTAAAAGGGAGTTTTATCTGGGTTTTTTAAAGCATTTTTAAAAAGCTCTTCCTTCTCCATGGGAAGCACTGAGGCCCAGATTTGTTTGTTAATTGAGTTCTCCTGGACTGAGCAGCTAGTCAGAAGTCAAGGCCTATGAGACAGCAGGCTCCTGTCTCCAAGTTCTATAACCACAGAAATAGCCAGGGTCCCTTTATATGGGACTTATATGTTTGAAGTGATAGTGTGAAAGAAATTCCATTCTGCTAAATGAAAGAGTTTGTTTCTTTTGTATAAATGTTACAATTCCTTTACTGCTCTAAGAATCAGTTGCAGAAAATATATCATTCCCAAGAGCAGAACTATACAAGATAAAATACAGTGAAAAGCTACCTTTTCTAGGTTACCTGAGCAGCAGATGTGCATCATTGAAGTAGGCTTGATCTTTAGAGCTAAAACCTGAATTTTATAACATTTTTGGATTTCATGTGCCTCACTCAGCCACAGAGCATGCAGTATACATTCTGAGATGCATTTCTGTTCCTCTTTTTAAGGCCTTTAGGAAATTGTGGACATGTTAGCTAATTTAGGAATAACATTAGTGCTTTTGAAGATAGGTTCAAAGGTCATTAGAAATGCTCGTTGTGTCATTAAATTACTTACATGGAAATATCTAAAAAAAAAAAGTGCCCAAATAATCACACATCATGCTGTAATAGGAAACTAGTTGCTAAATTATTTTAATGCTTTTATTATTGTCAGCTCAAAAGCAGCCTTATTGTTATTATATCAATCTATATCTGTTCTTAAATGGTTTCATCATATGCCCACCATTTAATGCCCACCATTAAAGGGGCATCAACTAGGTTGTCAGTTTGTTTTATTTGTTAAGCTTTAATAAATTTTGCAGTACTTTGCATGTTTTATTTTGTTCCTTAGGCCCAAGGAAAACAGGGCAGTGTGGGATTTGGATATTTAATTGATAGCATACAACTGGGATAGCTACAGGTTTCACATATAATTACACAAAAATATGTTTCATTATGCAAGGAAATTAAGTAAAAATATAGATTTTTATGTATCTGCTGTTGCGAAACACAGAATAACCACTCATTCAGTCTTTATACCTGTGCCTTTGGTTATAAAACAATGTGATAAGAATGAAAGTTAACTGGAAAATTGCTTTTTAAGTTTGATGAATGGGGAATTTGTTTAGGACACATGCTCCGCTTAATAAAAATCCCCATGAGGCATGTACAGTGATCAATTCTATATCATATTATTTTTTCTCCAAAACCCCTCAAACTTGGTCTTGAGTCCCTCAAAGTACTCTTCACTTCTGTGAGTGAACAAGGATTATTGTTTACTCCAAATATGGATAATTTGGGGGATATTTATAAATATTTTTCCCTATGGCTTATTTAACTATAATGTCATTTCTCCATGAAAGATTGCTTTAAAATTTAACATATTAGAGCAATAAGAAATTATTCAGAAATGAGTATTACCCTATGTTGCTTGTTTCTTCTAAGTGTTTTAATATTGTAATACTCTGGATTGCCATGGGAATTGTCTTATCACATAAAGGTACTGCCTGTCCTATTAAAGTACATGTTTAAAAATTCAGTTTGACCTAGGTAGATGTGAATATTTCAGTTATTTCTTTACTGTATCCTGGTTTTGCTGCCTATTTTTGTGTCTGAAATAATTTCTTATTGTTTCTATTGATTGTTTTTACTATGAAGACCTAAAATAAAAATAATACAGATTTCCACGGGAATGGAATAAATACTAATGTTTATGGGAATGAGAAGAATAGAAATTAAAGTCTGTGATATTCATCCTAAAGTCAATTATACAGCAAAACAACAAATTTGATAGCACGTTTTACCAGATTATTTTGAAGGCTTTAACAATTTGAAAACTATTAGGTATTTCCCTGTGTCTATCAGCATACTCATGGTTCATAGATTTTACAGATACACCCCTGCTGTTTCTGGAAATAACTGTCTACTTCAAAATGTTCTGTAATCCCCTACCAAATGTTTGAATTTAAGAAAAAAACATGGTTACAATAGAACCGGTAGCTACATTACAAAGCTAATTTTTCTTCTTCAAGAGAATGGGAACTGTCTATGGGAAGTTTTGTCAGCCATGTCTTGGTTTTAACAATTATGGGACATAGAAAAAGTTGATTTACTGTCACCACTCCTAAATTGACGATCCTGCTATTATGCTTCATGTACCCCCGCTTCATGCGTGACCTCCAGACCACCTACTCTAGGAAGCAACTCCAAACCCTCTATTTAGCTTGCCCCATGTGCCAACCAAAGAGATTTTAAGTACTTTATTGTTAATGTAATAGTTAGTGATATATTAAGTAATAGCCATAATCATAATTTATTGAGCAGTCATAATGTGGCAGGCATTGTACCAGTCCCAGTATCATGTATTATTTAATTATCATAAACATTCTGTGAGATGGTTGAATTATTCTCATTTCTCAAATGAGGAAACTAGGTTCAGAAAAGTAAAGCAGCTGGCCCAGGAACATAAGATAGTGAGCTCCAGACCTGGGACTCAAATTCAGAATTGTGTAATTCCAAGTTTATTTTCTCTCAATTAGTGATAAATGAAACACAAGAGTAGGCTAATCAAATGCTCTAAAGACTGTATGAATTGCTTTGTAAAAAACAATACAATGACAGTTTTATTTTTAAAAAAATGGAAGCAAAAGCCACATAATGACTTCAAAGCAGCTACAGAGTAGAGGTTGGAAATTTTGCAAAATAGTTTCTCATGAGGTTTGAAACTACAAAGGACTTTATTTAGAAATGGTCTTATGATACTCAAACACGGGGGAGAGCCAAATAAAATATATTAATAAAACCAGGAAGGGGCGTCTTCAAGGTGGCAATTTTTAATCAAACTTACATGGTTTATATACCCATGTGAAATATCATGAATTCTACAATTACAAATTATTGGCTTCTCCCTCATCCTGGATAACAATCAGCTAACAATACACAGTCTCTGACCTTTTTCTTTCTCCTGAGTAGAGTGATTATCCAGGTACCTTCAATTAAGAGCCATGAGTTTCTGCCTAGGTACCCATGCAAAGGGATCTCCTCCCAGAAACAGATAAGTAAACGAGGGCTGCTTATTTTAAAATATACATCAATCTATTTAAATGTAAGTTAGAATTACTACAACAATTAATGATTGTGAATTAATGATAATTTGGATAATTATAACAGATATGATTTATGTAGCGTGCTATTGTGCAAGACATCTATGATCATTATGAATTAACATATCTTATTTATTGAGCATCTAAATTAAGCAAATTAATTGGTAAAGTTGTTATCAGGGGTACTCACTGGGGTTATTTTGCTCTCTCACTAGTAATGTAGGGATGTGTGAGTGACTTTTTGGTTGTTTCACAGGTTGTAAGGTGTGGTAGAGGCAGTGAGAGGGTGATCCCTTTCCTCCCCATCAGAAAGGTCACGGTTGGCACCACTGTAACAAAGACAGGTTAACAAGAGAAAGGCATAATACATTTATTTGATCATAGTTCTATGTGACATTGTGTCCAGAATTTATTCCTTCTGGTGGGTTCTGGTTCTCGCTGACTTCAAGAATGAAGCCACGGACTCTCGCCGTGAGTGTTACAGCTCTTAAAGATGGTGTGTCCAGAGTTTGTTCCTTCAGATGTTCAGATGTGTCTGGAGTTTCTTCCTTCCAGTGGGTTCATGGTCTCGTGAAGCCGCAGACCTTCACAGTGAGTGGTACAGCTCTTAAAGGTGGTGCGTCCGAGTTGTTTGTTCCTCCCGGTGCGTTTGTGGTCTCACTGACTTCAGGAGTGAAGCCGCAGACCTCTGCAGTGAGTGTTACAGCTCAAAAAGGTAGTGCAGATCCAAAGAGTGAGCAGCAGCAAGATTTATTGTGAAGAGCGAAAGAACAAAGCTTCCACAGCGTGGAAGAGGACCCGAGTGGATTGCTGCTGCTGGCTCGGGTGGCCAGGTTTTATTCCCTTATTTGGCCCCGCCCATGTCCTGCTACTGTCCATTTTACAGAGCACTGATTGGTCCATTTTACAGAGTGCTGACTGGTGCATTTACAAACCTTTAGCTAGACACAGGGTGCTGATTGGTGCATTTTTACAGAATGCTGATTGGTGCGTTTACGAAGCTTTAGCTAGACACAGAGCGCTGATTGGTGTGTTTACAATCTTTTAGCTAGACAGAAAAGTTCTCCAAGTCCCCACCGGACCCAGAAGCCTAGTGGGCTTCACCTCTCAACATTGGCGCTTCAGAATATAAACCTAAAGATTCAAAAACAATCTATTTTTATAATATAAAATAAAAGAAAATTTCAGGACGTCTAAATGTATTATACTGAGGTGGAAATTAAGCCCTGGAGACTGAATCATGTAGCTTGTCTGCAGTCCTCCTTCTTAGATTGTAGCTTAAGTCTCTTCTTAATTGTTATTTTTCTGTAAATGATGAAGAGAGAACAGAGACCATACCTCCCCTGTGCCAATCCCTGACCTTTGTTATAGATTAACTGTCTCCTTTATTGTCCTGTACCTCACTCAGAGAAGATGATGGTTCCAAAAGACCCCATGACTGTTCCATCTTCAGTGTGGAATGTTGAATATACCTTTCCTGGATGAAAAAGACCACCTTGAAATCAGATCATTGTAACTATGCATTAAGCCTTACATAGAAAGATGTTGAAATTCTGTTAAACTCCCTAAGCTTTGTCTACATAAGCCATCTCAAACTTCTACACTTTGAAACTGATACTTTTTAGAATCTGTGTTTCTGTGGTGGGCCATCCTCAATTTTGTTATTGAATAAGTTCGCATTGGACTAGATTTTGGCCCCATTGGTTATTTTAGGCTGGCTATGCTTAAGTTTGATGAAGTAGGGGCAGCCCTGTAGAAATACGATTGAACCACAAGGATATGGTCTACTGCTAATAGACTGAAACGAAATCCAGCAAGGCCTGTCTATTCAGCTTCTCCTTGGCTTCTCTATGCAGTATTCCTTCCATCCCAGTGTGAGGGAAGACTCTCTCTTGAATGGGGCTCTTACGACTTGCTCTCAGACAAGATAGGTCAGAGAATTTATGGCCAGCTTTTTCACAGAAAGTTGGGGGAAATTTAGGGTAATACTTTTAGGTTTCATAGAAAATGAGGTTCTAGGCTGGGCGTGGTGGCTCACGCCTGTAATCCCAGCACTTTGGGAGGCTGAGGCAGGCAGATCACCTGGGTCAGGAGTTCGAGACCAGCCTGGCCAATATAGTGAAAGCCCGTCTCTACTAAAAGTAAAAAGAAATTACCCGGGTGTGGTGGTGGGCGCCTGTAATCCCAGCTCCTCGGGAGGCTGAGGCAGGAGACTAGCTTGAACGTGGGAAGCAGAGGTTGCAGTGAGCCGAGATCGTGTCATTGCACTCCAGCCTGGGCGACAAGAGCCAGACTCTGTCTTAAAAAAAAAAAAAAAAAAAAAAAACAACAACAAGAAAAAGAAAAGAAAATGAGGTTCTAGTTTCTATTACCTGCCTTGGCGAAGTGGGATTCTAGTTTCCATAGTTTCCATGGCCAGAATCAGGGGAGAATTAGAGGTACAAAACAGAGGGGCAGGAAAAGGTTAGAGAAAAACTTTTACTTCTGAGGATGCTTCTGAGGTCTTCATTTTGAGGTATCATTTTCTAAGGCTAAACAAGGTACAATTGGAATTTGGTCATATTAGTGTTGGTGATAATATATGTTTGGCCAAGGTTGCTAGACTTCCTGCAATTCTTGCGACAGTTCCATTCAGCAAAGAACTTCCTGTGACCTGCTGTGTTTTAAAAGTCCCTCAGACATACAAGAAGGTGAACTACTCATTTGTTATTATCTAAGCCTAAAACCTAACCCCATTTTATATTGAAGCACACATTTTTTTTGGCGTGGTTTCAATATACACTAAACTTTTAAGATTGCCATCTCCATACAAATTGAAGGAAAAACATATTTTTTGAAGGGGATGGGGTTTTGCAAGAATTTTTCATTAATGGTGAAGCCACTTTTGGCGTTTAAGTGGTTATTAAGACAAAGCTATGTCATTCTGTGTTTGAAGGTATCATATTCACTTTGATTCTATATGTAGGCATCAGAATCTGACTATTCCATGATTTCTTCTAGGGTAGTCAAGCTTGGTCATTTATACAGTGAAATGCATATTGTTTTATTCTAAAAGGTTTTTATTTTATGTCTCCTTTAGGTTACAGTAAATGCATAATATTGATTCTGAAAACACTAAGTGGGTAATTAGATTATGTTATCTACTGATTTCAGGATAGTGAAAAGAGGTTATATGAAATATTTTGTATAATAAAGTATATATATATATATATATAAATACCTAGTATACCTAAAATGTATATATATAGCTATATAATATTACTATATATTACATATGTAGAGTATTCTATAAGTTCTTTTTCTCTTTTTTCTCTCTGTTCTGTAGAGAGAGAATATCATTAGCATTTTCTGTTCTTGCTCAAATCACTATCAACACAGTTTTACCCTAAAAGTTCTCATTAGATCTTTATAAATAAATACATTGCATTACATTTTACAGTTATTTATTTTTATACTCAGGTGATTACTAACATTTAGGCTCATTGGCCCAGTAGTTTTTTCTTGAAACTTTTACATGTGACAGGTGGGAAGGGACTGTATCCTTCTGACAAAGGAGCAGAATGCCCTCTTTCCTGATCTCCATTCCCAGCCAGGAAAGCTATTTCTTCAGGATTCAAAAATCAACTCAGCTTCTCAAATGAAAATGATATTCTAGCCCCAGCAAGGCAGAGATACTTGGAAGTCTTTGACCGGAGGTGGGAGAAATGTATATATTAGTGGGAGAATGGAGGTACCATAATTCTACTTTATGACTTATATTTATTGCCATTTTATGTGAAGATAGTATACATAAAATAACAACCTTTCAGAACTAATACTAATTGCAAAAGTGATAAAACAGAATTATACTGATCCTTTAGTGTGCCTAGGTGTCGACTGTATGCTGACCCCTTTAAAAGTATTAGCTCAATTAAAGCTTAAAATGGTCAAGGTATGAGTCAGTGTTACTGCCCTCTGTCTACAAATTGAAAACTGTGTCTGAGGTTGTTTGGTTTATTATAAATTGAAAAACTGAGACTTAAACCCAGATCAGTCTGACTCTGAAACTCATGCTTCTAACAATTATTGTGAAATACTGATGTTGTTTTCTCTACAGTGTAAAAATATTCAAATTCATAACTTTGTTAATATCACTTATGAATGAATGAATTCTGCCAGTTACTGAGTTTGGGAAACAAATCATTCATTAACCTCTTATTGATGTCTCATAGTGATTTTACAGGCATATTCCAATGCACAAATTTAAATGAACAAAATTTCAAATGACTCAGAAAAATACACTAACATAGTACTTCAAAAACCCAATACACTGACACAACAGAAAATTTTTACAAAATAGAAGCTTTGATTGTAAAAGCATAAAGAAATTGAACTCAGCTTCAAAGGGATGCTGCAAAGGACATTAAGAGTACCACCAAGATTTTATTAGACCACAGTGATCTACTTTGGAAGTCTTTGAAGTTAAATGCCCCAAGAAACTTTAAAGTATGCAGCTTAGAACCTAGAATAAAACTGCTTGGGACCTCTAATAATCTACTTAAACAGATTTTTGAATTGCAAAAGAAAATCATATTTGGACCTGGTGTGTGTACATTGCTCAGAATACCACAGAGAATTGAGAAATTATTAAAACTTCAAATTGTTTTCTCCATAAACAAGCTAGTCTTGATCAGATAAAACATTACTATGTTCTTAAAAAATGGGGACATGTGTTAGAAAAACTTGAACTTAAACCTTGACACACAGCTTATTGGCTATGTGGCCTCAGGCAAAGTATTTAACTTCTTAGAGTCTAGAAGTTCCCATTTTTAAACCAGGGTATCAGTTTCTATCTTCCAGTATGGATAATAAAAAGTGGTAATAATAATGCTGTGTTTGATATAGTGATGAGCACACAGTATGTCTTCAATAAGTCAAAATTACTATCAAGTTTATATTTTACGTTCAAAATTCAGCTATAAAATCAGAATTTTAGCATTGCATGAGAGTCAGAAGAAACTCACAAGTATCATCCTTATTTTTTTCTTAAGAATTTTTTTTCATCCTAACAATGCATTATAGAAAGTCATTTGTTCCAGTTCTTTTATTCTGTTCTTTTATTTGGGAAATTAGCTTATGTATATTTTAAAATGCAAAATATATATTTACAAGTTCTTGCTATACAAAGTTTAAACATTTGGAAAATACAAAAAAGTAGAAAAAATTCTATACCAACTACCCCCAAATAACTATTTTTAAACATTTTTGTGTACTTCTTTTCATTCATTTTTCTTTATATATTTGCACATGGTTAGGTAACTATTTGGCCATCTAATAGACATTAGTCTAGATATAATCATTCATCTTGTTGTATTTTTACTTTCTATTTGTACAGTAAAATTCAAAGCTTATCCTTGAATTGATATAGTTACTAACAATGCAGGACATAGAGATGGCACTTTCCTTACAGGTTCATACAGTCCCTTTGGTTTCCTTGCTTCTTCCATCTAAATGGGATTAACTTCCTTTGACTTTCTTTAAGTGATGATTCTATGCTGCCTCCAGATTTCTGTTGACCTGGGGACTCCTAAATGTGTGTCTTTCATCAGGCCAGCCCACCTCCTTCTGCTAATCAGCTTGGATACCAGCAACAAGCATGGATTTGCTTAGCTAAGGCCGGATTCAACCTCCTTAAAACTGTAACCAAATCAGAGGCTCAGTCACTCACCACTTGCAGAGTCAATTAGAAAGAGCAAGGTCTGGTATAAAGAAAGTGACTTTTTATTCCAAAGCTTGCTAGGGGAAAATGTGATACATTAAGGCTTCCTGCCTTAAATGTATCACTTCTATTTTGTGGTAGAAAGCAGGGGCATTTAAAAGGGGAACTAGGCATGAATGGCATGCAGGGGAAGGAGCAAGCAAGTGGAGGTCTGTGTGACTCACTTTAGCACCTTATTTACTGGGGGAGGGGGGTCAAGCTGGTACCATCATGGGCAGAACCAGGCTGTACAATGGCTAGTATTGTAGGGGAGAGTTTCTTAGGGGGCACACTTTAAGTTGTAAATTGACTGTTTTCTCTGGAAGCAGTCTCCTGGTGGGAGAGGTTTCTGGTTCTGGAGCTGCTAAGTAAGCACACAGATAAGCTTGCCCTGTAGGGAGTGTCTGGTGAAGGAAAGGTAGAGGTTATAATTGCATTTCTAAAGAGCTAAGAAGTGGGGAATGGGGAGAGGAGGAAAGAGAAAAGAACAGAAAATAATTAAAACAACTCATTCTCTTTGTCTTAGAAAAGTGGGAGTACTTGCTTACAAAACTACTGCAAAACCTACCAAATCAGAGTTTCTTGTCTATATTTGGAAATTTCACACTTGCCTTTTTGTTCCTTCTATGGTATATTGACAATTTAACCTTCTTTTATTATGATGTATGCAAATAATTTAACTCCATTAAAATCGATATAACCAAATTGAGTTTTTCTTCAAACAAGGTTGTTACCTGAGCATTGAGCTGTGCCTTAGGGAAGCTTTTATTCTGATGAAGACAGCAATTCCTCTGTTCAGAGCCAAATAAAATCTTCCTTCTGGAATTATATTGTAGACCCCTATTCTCCTGGTATCAAAATCAAGGCACTTTATAGGAAATGAAAAGGAACAGCTGTGAGATCATAAATGCCAACTTTAATTAAAAAAAACTTCATTTTCTAGTACTCCATATACATGATTGTGGAATCTGTGCAAACTGAGAGGTTTCCTAATTACTTTGCTCAGTAATATCAGGGCAGGATTCGTTTCCACGTGAAAGTGTAGGCACAAACCCAATTACTGTTGTTCTGCCAATGAAGATTATTAACCTGCTGTATGATAGTTCTACAAGCTAAGTGTTTGGTTCACAAATCTGATTTCCATATAGATTTTATAGATATACTCCTGTTTACTGAAAGCACAGTGTGTTTGGGAAATCCCTGTCACAACATACTGAGTTGGGTGATAACTTGATAAGCAGGGCTGAATTATATGACTCCCCAATATTCAGAGTTCATGGAATATCAGTGTTTGGTGGGACCATAAAGACCATCTATTCCCACCATGGTCCCACAATAAAAGTTTGTTACCAAAAAGGGGTCCCTATCCAGACCCCAAGAGAGGGTTCTTGGATCACACACAAGAAAGAATTTGAGGCAAATTCATACAGTAAAGTGAAAGCAAATTTATTAAGAAAGTAAAGAAATAAAAGAATGGCTGTTCCATAGGCAGAGTGACATGGGCTGCTCAGCTGCTTTTACTTATGGTTACTTCTTGATTGTATGCTAAACAAGAGGTGAATTATTCATGTGTTTTCCGGGAAAGGAGTGGGCAATTCCTGCAACTGAGCATTCCTCTTCTTTTTAGACAATATAGGGTAACTTCCTGACATTGACATGGCATCTGTAAACTGTCATGGCGCTGGTGGGAGTGTCTTTTAGCATGCTAATACATTATAATTAGCATATAATGAGCAGTGAGGATGACCAGAAGTCACTCTTGTTGCCATCTTTGTTTTGGTGGGTTTTGGCTAGCTTCTTTACTGCAACCTGTTTTATCACCAAGGTCTTTGTGACCTTTAATTTCTGCCGAGCTCCTATTTCATCCTGTGACTAAGAATGCCTTAACCTCCTGGGAATGCAGCCCAGTAGGTCTCAGCCTTATTCTACCCAGCCCCCATTCAAGATAGAGTCTCTCTGGTTCAAAAGCCTCTGACAAGTTGACACATTCATAATCACAGATTTAGTAAATGGTAAAGCCAGCTCCTGAGTTCAGGTCCTCTTATGATACTGGGTTCCAGGTATAGTAGATATCCTTCCAATGCCATTTTCTTTGATTATATGACTTTAGTGTAAAGATTCTGAGAGTTATGGTTGCTCATATACTACAGATAGCCTTAAGACAAGCCAGAAAAATATATTCAATACCATTCAATATAAGAATTTTCTAGAAAAGTAGATTGTGTACATGATTTGTATTAATGAGATACCATGACATAATAAAAAATTAAAGGGTGATAAGATTTAGTGTTCTTAAAATAAAGAATTCAAAGTTTCTTCAAAATACCAAGAGGGGGCCATATTTTGCTTTAGTTTGTCATAATATTGTGCAATAATCTTTGAGACAACCTTGTTAGCAAGGCAGTCGGAACATGTGTTCACTTTGATGTGTTAGCAACTCAATACTACCCACATTATTGTAAATTCTGCTTAAGTGGATAGCATTTATAGATATTAATTTTATTTGATAGTAATACAATAAGTCATAGTCACCTTTTTGATATTAAGCATTATGCTTTTATTTATAGAGTAAAAGGAAAAAACATACGTTTTCTGTTGTCTTTAAAGTTGGAGCTTCATAAAGTGTAATAATAAATTCTTATACAGTACTTTTGTTGAAATCTGTATCTAATTGAAACTATCATGTCGCAAGATCAATCTTAGTTTGTAAGTAGGCTTGATTAGTTTCCATGGCCTTTGTTAGATTTGCCAGTCTGTAATCCTTTCTGTTGATCTCCCTCTTTTTGTTATCATGGTATATTAATTAATGTAGCCCTCATTAGAAAGTTCTGAAGAACTTAGCATATCAAAGAACTTGGATGGATAAAAGGGGAAAGGAGTCGGAAGGCATTGTCTGCATGGGGTTTCTTGACTTTCTGTGACTATTACCCAGCTTTAGACACCTGAAGGTTATTGCCCTTCGGATAGCACTGTTCAGAAAAAGAGTTTATTCCATAAGCGTTTGGTTTGTTACATAATACTGTGGCCCATGATCTAGAATGTAGCCAATAAAGGGCAGAGATTAAAAATTGAGGCCAAGATGGAGAGTTTGAATACCAATTATATTTTATATTTACCATTTGACTAGCACACAATATTTAACTCTTTGAACCAACAATAATAATTGCATCAATTTCATAGAGCTTTTATGAAAATTAAACATATTCATTCATGCAAAATGCTAACCACATGCGTGGAACCTAGTAAGTGGGCAATCACAGTAAGGAATAATAATCGTGATGCTTACGGTACTCTTTCTATCCTTAACCATTGAATCCCAGAATGCTCATTGGGTAAAATCACCTTTCTGCTCTTGGAAAAAGTCCTGGTGTGTCTCCTAAACTGAGTGCCCAGACCAAAAATAAAGAGGGAGGGGTTGAGGGGGGTAAGCTGAAAAGAGAGATTTATCACACTCTTTTATAGTAAGACTGTCAGCTTGAGTCTTATTATTTATAGATATCTCTTCATCCTATTTGTAGAAGTTATATTTCTCTAGGGAATACTGCTGTGGGTGAGGAGCTTAAAAAATATATCGAAGTGACCTTTCTACTAAAGAAAATGGGGGAAAAACAACAACAACAAAAAAGTCCATTTGTCAATAGGACCACAATGCAGCTAACTCACTGAACCTCTCGGTCAAATGGAAAAATACAATTCATAAAACTTTAAAGCCCTTTGAAGAATTAAAAAGCTAAATTCTAAAATCTTAGTCCTAAGAAAAACAAATGATTGGGATGTATTGTAACATATATTTATAAAATACGTTCTTATTACTCACAGTCTCAACAAGGACATGGAGTTATATACACTTTACAAAGTTTGGTTTATGCAAACATACAAACTGGATTCAGCAGAATCAAGATTTTGTTGAATATCATTTGTTGTATCATAAGGTTTATCAGGAGAAAAAAGCTCCAGATTTGTAAAATGTTCTAACATTTATTGAGTGCATAATAGGCACTGTTGGATGCTTGAATACAAAAATATATAAGCCCTCAAGCAATTTGCCGTCTGGTGGGAGCAACACAGAATTCTCTTACAGCATTTTACACAAGCTTATTTTCAGACATTTGCAACAAAATATTGTCAGAAACTATTTGTGTGTCTGTTGCACACACTGAACGTTGATTTTCTTAAGGCACGGTGTTATGCTTTTCTCATTGTGGTTTCCCAGAACCTGGAACAAAAAACTCTTTCTAAAACACTGTGAAATACCTTTAAGGAATCATTTATTTCCCACTTTCAGCCTATTGCTTTTCTCATTGTGGTTTCCCAGAACCTGGAACAAAAAACCTTTTCTAAAACACTGTGAAATACCTTTAAGGAATCATTTATTTCCCACTTTCAGCCTATGTGGATTGGGTGGGTTGAATCCCATCTTCAGCTTCCTAGAATGTCTATAACTGATAAGATTTCGAAGTATGAATCTGGTGGGGGTTACAAACATTCAGACCATATTAGATGCCTCACTTTATTTACTACAGTCTTGATTTTGTGCTTTATTAATTTTTAATTTTTCCATAAGAGATAGATTAGGCTGGGACCCATAATCTAGGGAAGCCAGCACTCACTGACTTGTAGATACTTTTGCCTGTTTCTCCAAAAGATGTATGCACAAATAACACACTTATAAGCAATCAATTTTTATTTCAAAATGAGTTATTAATATTATACAAATTAGGGCATTTGAAAAATGAAGGGGGGCACATTTACTAATTATTATGAGTGTAAGCCATTTACTTTAGGTTTCGATACCAAACGTGAAGGTGTCCAAATAAACTTGTCATTTGTCTATGAATAGGTTTCCCAGGTCTTCTGTCCTGACCTCATCTAAGACCTTATGGAGAAACCAGAGCTCTATAAACTTGAGTGTCTCTCATCTGCCTTATAATGGTGTTTCTAATACTTCCCTTGTCTAGGTCACAGAGTTTTGTTTTTGTTTGTTTGTTTGTTTAACAAAATACAATGTGATCATTCATGTCAAGTGCTATTATAAAATATATTTAAGCGCTGTATCTTCCTTTTACATGACTTAACTTACAATTACTTTTTTAATACCCTGGAGCATCATTAGATAATGGAGCTCTGACTTCTTTCACAGAAAACAAAAAAATAATACTGAGGTTTAGCGTACTTCATCAGTAGTGAATGAAAGAACCCAGATTTCAGTTGAGGTGTGTTTTCTGTAAATTATTGTCTTTCTTCATAGACTTATTTTAGAAATCTTAAAAAGTTTAGAGTTTACTTTTATAATCTTGGATTTTGAAATTGTTGAAATCTATATATCTATTTAACTACCTATCATCTCTTTATCTGTATGTATATATGTGTATGTGCATGTGAACATAATTCTACAATGTGCTAACAAAATTATGTTAGTAGCTACTGTGCTACCCTTTCTATTCAAAGCCTCACATTTTAAATATTTGTAACTGGGAAAAATACATCCCAATCTAAATTAGGAAATGAAAAGAAAGAGACAAAACTTTTTGATGTTACAGGATGAGTATGGAACTAGACTTTGTAAGCCTTGACCATATTTGTAATGTAATATAGATGACTTTCCTCATCTATAACTTGAGGGATGTATTCAGTGTGATGATTTCAAAGGTAGTGTCCAGACCGTAAAGTTGATACCATTTTGATGTTCTGTTCATATTGGGCCTATTTTTAGACACATTTATTCCTGGAAGTCACTTTTGAAAGTGCATGCCTATGAGGTTAAGTCCACCAGTGTATCTTATCTTTTCCTGATATATGCATTGCTGATGTTTTCTCTTCTGACCCTGAAAAAAGCAATGAAACAACAGCATGCAGTGAGAAGCAATGGTTCTAAATTACATGGCTACAGATGCATAGTTTTGCAAAATGTGAAGCTCTGAAAAATGTAGCCTATATTGAATAAAACCATTTAAAGGTAAGAAGTTTTTTTTTCTGTAAATGCATATAAGAATTGACTAGCAAATGCAGTATTTAGCATAGTGATTCCAGTATAGTAGCTGTGTTTCTTATGGATTTATTCTAGAAGTTAAATCAATATTAATTATTATTTAACATTATTTACAGACTAGCAAACTGTATAGATGTGCTATAAATTTCTGAAAAATTGATATCTCAAATAAGCAATTCTCACAAGAGTTTTACTTCCTATTAGAACAGTATATTCATCACTAAAAAAGCAAGAAATCAAATGAATAAGTAAATAAATAAAATTAGATAACTGGTTATGAAGTAAAACTTAACACATTTTTAAGAAATTTGTTTTCTTTGAATATAAATTTTCTAATTTGTCTCTAGTGTTTGACTAACTTTGAATTTGGAATATTTAGAAAATCATCTTGATGAATCTCTTCTTAGTATAATCTGAGTTGATTTAGTGTGGCATTTACACATCTCTCTTTCAGTGAATAATCCAATATCAACTGTGAAAAGGCAAGAGCCATATTGTATTCAAAGCTAACCTCAAGACATTTAGAAACTTTTTATAGAGAAAAAAATTATTCAGTTTTTTAATTACCTACCCTAGCTCTGCTCTTCCAATGTTGGTATTGCTCCCACTGAAATTAATGATCTGGTAAAGATTTGCACTTATGAAACTAACAGTCTGGATGAATAAATGAAAAAACAAACTTTGGATCAAACTGTCATTAATCATAGTCAAATATGCCACTGGCAGCAAAGAATCTGTGGTGAAAGTCAAAGGCTGATGAAATTCTCCTGCATAATCATCATGAGGAATACTAAAAGCTCGTGGCTGAAGAAAGCTAAATGCCCTGTAAACAATGGAAATATGGATACAGTAAAAAAAAAAAAAAAAAAAAAAAAAAAAAAAAATATATATATATATATATATATATATATATATATATATATATATATTTTCCTTTTCCTTTTGTTTTTAAGGGGCCTGTGTTTTACTGGTTAAGACTGAACAATCAATGTTTAGTTTTCAGGGTAGAAAAATCATTTCTAAGTCTTTCACCTTTACCTAAGGAAGTTGATACATATTTATTAAATATCTACACTATGTTCAGTAGGTTTTAACTTGGTTTAGATAAAAGATGAATCCACTAGATCTAAGAAAATAGCTGAAATGTTTCCTAGGTTACTTTCATAGCATTTACAAATTAGATTGAGGTATTAGAACCACAGTTTTATGCCTGGAAAATGCAAATCCTCTCTAAACAGGATTCTAGTTGCAAAATGACACTCTTTTTTATTTAGGTATTTCAATAGCTTCTGCTAAATATACAATAGAATTATAGCATTTGATCATGTAAAATACCTATTTCACATGTTTGTAGATAAGCCTAAAGGTTCTTCACATGTAAGCACTTGCAACAGGATGGTAACATTGTGTCTGGAGTTGGTTCCTTCTGTGGGTTTGTGGTCTTGCTGACTTCAAGAATGGAGCTGCAGACCTTCGTGGTGAGTGTTACAGCTCTTAAAGATGGCATGGACCCAAAGAGTGAGTGGTAGCAAGATGTATTGTGATGAGCAAAAGAACAAAGCTTCCACAGCGTGGAAGGGGACCCAAGCAGGTTGCCACTGCTGGCTGAGGTGGTCAGATTTTATTTCCTTATTTCTTGCCTCCCATGTTCCATTTCTGTCCTATCAGAGTGCCCTTTTTTCAGTCCTCCCTGCAATTGGCTACTTTTAGACTGCTGCTGATTGGTGCGTTTTACAGAGTGCTGATTGGTGCATTTTACAAAGCGCTGATTGGTGCATTTTACAATCCTCTTGTAAGACAGAAATGTTCTCCAAGTCCCCACTTGACCCAGGAAGTCCAGCTGGCTTCACCTCTCAACATGATCACGTGGTGTTCTTTCAGGAATTAAAGAGCTACTGCAAGTTAACAATGAAGCATTTTAGCAGTGTGCAAAATGTTTCAGTGGGTGTGTGGGCTCCCGAGTCAGACCTGCATTTATTCCGGTCTCTATCATTTTCTGTGTAATGTGGGATAAATTACTGAAACTCTGTGTCAGTTTCCTGATCTGAAAATATGTGTGTGTGTGTGTGTGTGTGTATGTGAAAAAAAAAAAAACATATATATATATATTTTCTACTTCTTTCCTAGAATTGCAAAGTATATATTCTGAAGAAACCCCAGTCATAAAAGAAAAAATTAAATGGAACAAGAAAAGAAACAGTGAACTAGAAAAATAACTTAGTAGAAAACTACTCACAAACTAGGGTAGCCTTAGGGAAAAATCTGATAATCGGCCCTGTGAGCTGTCTTGTACACTTCAGGCCTCTGCAAATGATACAGCTGAAGCTGAAATCCTTGCACTAAGTTGGAACCCCAAAGGGAGAGGTTCTAAAGGAAATAAACCTAACTCAGCACTTCAGCATTTCCCAAATTAACTGTAGTTAAATATAATCTCACAATCAAAAGAAAAAGAAAAATTTCTATCCTAAAGAAACAAGTCACCATGACAGAGTCAGCAAAAACAACCACAGCAGATTTGGAACTCCAAGAACTGCAAATAATATACATCTTATTAAATAGATATCCATGAACAGCTTAAAAATTAAAAAAAAAAGACGTCTAGCTAAAAGAAAATTCTGATATGATAAAAGATGATTAGGATTTAAAAAAACCCAAATAAAAGTATTCAAAGTGAAAATGTAATCATTTAAGTTAAAAATTCAATGTCTAGATTAAACTGTGGTTAGACCCAAAAGAGAATTTTTGAACTGAAAGACAAATCTGGAGAAATTTTCCATAAAACAGCTTAGAAAGACAAGGAAATTGAATCCTGGAAAAAAAAAATTAAAAGCTTTATACATGAAAGATAAAACGAGAAATCCTTTATATCTAATCGGAGTTCTAGAAGACAAAGAAAAGGAGAAGAGACAATATTGAAGAGGTAATGGCTAAAGATTTTTCAAAGCAGATAAATAATATCGATTTGCTAATACTTGAAGCATTATCTGTACCAAGCAGAGCAAATAAAAAGAGACTCACACATAGTTTTAAGATAAATAGTAGTATATTAAACATTTTTAAATAAATCAGAGAAAACACAGATTATCCCCCCCAAAAAAGTTTTTATGTAACAAAAGACTGCAAGAGAAATAAGGAAGGCAAGAAGACAGTAGAATAGTACCTTTAAGTGTCAAAAGCAAACAATAACAGCAAAAATATGCCTTAACCTAAAATCTTCAACCTAGGAGAAATATATTTTAGGAATAAGGAATAAATAAAAATATTTTCTGATAATTGAAAATGAAGAGAATTAGCCACCAAAATACTTTTCAAAAGAAATTTAACTAAAAAGATGCATTTTAAGAAAGAGAAAAAAAAATAAGTATCACAGAAGGATGACCTAAGATGAAAGAACAAATGGTAAGCAAAGAAATAGTCATATAGGTATGCAAATTTAAAAGTAATTATGTTTTTATAAAATAATCATAATATATAATTTGTGACATTAATATTAATTGCAGAACTAAAATATAAAAAATGTCCTATTTAGGTCAGGAGGAGGCAGATGGCATTATTTGCATTCTTTTGTTGTCCTTGTATTTTCCAGGAAATTTGCTAAGATAGCAAATAATTTTAGAAATCATTAAGTTGTTAATGGAATTTTAAGAGTAACTACTACAGGAACAGAAAGAAACTCAAGTACAGCTTCTAAAGCAGTAGGTAGAAAAACAAAACTAGAAAAATAAAGTTTGAAAAAAGACAGTAAAATAAATTTTGGAAAACATTTAACTATATATGTGTATGTAACTATGTATATAATTATGTAAATGTATAACATAACTTACATATGTATACATGTTATGCAGAACTACATACATTATACATGCATGCATGCATACATACATGTATACATAACTACTATATATGTATATAAACTACCTATTAATATGCAGATACGTGTGTATATACACACACACCTTCATAATAAACATAAATGGGACTGAACTTTTCAGTAATAAGACTGTTAGAATGAATTTTAAAAAGAATACATTCTATTTATAAGACATATTAAAAATCATATAAGTTCAAAATTTTAAAAAAGAAAAAATATGCCCTGATAAATATTAAGTAAAAGGACCTTGCAGTGTCATAATAGTATTAGATAAATTAGATTTTACACCAAAAAACATTATTTGACATAATGTAACATAGATTACTATTTTAGGCAGTGGTTTAATTTATTGGGAAAATTTGTAGGTACTTAATAATCTCAAATATATAAAAAGCAAGAATAATAAAATACTAGGAGTTGATGAATCCACCATCATGTTTGGGTAATTAATGAAAATTTTGTTACTAATAGGTCAAGCAAATATTTGTAAATATACCAAGATTTCAACAAATATTAAAAATCTTTATTATAGATGTAAACAGAACACATCACTCCATAACATATTAAAACTCTTAAGCATACCCTGAACATTTACAAAAATTCCCTGCATAGGAGACAAAAAGCAACTCTCAACACATTTTAAAGAATTGATTTTATACAGATCATGTTCTTTGACCACAATTCTTAGAAATCAATAGCAGAGCACAAAAGAAATGACTGTGATATTGTGACATAATAAGAAATATATATCTGGTCTCTATCCCCAGTTTCTGGCACAAAGCGCTAAAAACTCTTGTCAATTACCGGAGCCGTAGAGGTGCTAGGTGCATCTTTTGTTCTAATATTTGGCCTTTGACCCAGGTTTCTGACACAGAGATTCTAATCCTTTGGAATTTCCTGGGTGACAGGAGTGTCTTTTATTGTAAGGGGGCAACTCTTGGTGGGCTCTTAGATAGGATCTGGTCACCAGAGACCAAGCCCTGATTAAAAGATTGGAACATTCATCCCCTCCCATCCTCTGAGAAGGGGAGAGGAATTGGAGATTGAGTTAATAATCAGTCATGGCTGTGTGATGAAGCCTTCCATAAAAAGTCCGAGAACCATAGGGTTCAGAAAGTGACCAATTAACTGAACACATGTGGAAGTCTGGAAAGGTAGCACACCTTTCAGAGGGCACAGAAACTTCACATCTCTTCCCCCATCCTTGCCCTGTGCATCTCTTCCATCTGGCTGTGCTTTTGTTTCCTTTACAATATCCTTTATAATAAATTGGTAAATGTAAGTAACTCTTTAGTTCTGTGAGCCATTCTAGTAAATGACAAAAACTGAAGAGGAGGTTGTGGGAACCCCCAGTTTATAACTAGTTAGTCAGAAGTGCTGGAGGCCTGGATATGTGATTGGCGTCTAATGTGGGAGCAGTCTTGTGGGACTGAGCCCTTAACTGGTGGAATCTAATGTTAACTCCTGGTAGTTTCAGAATTAAATTACAAGGCACCGAGTTGGTGTCCACCAGAGAATTGATGTGTGGGGGAAAAAGCCACACATTTGGTGTCAGAAGTGATGTATTGAGAGTGTTTTGAAAGTATGGTAGGAGAGAGCTGTTGTGTTTGTTTTTTCCTTACAGACCCCCATATATTTACAAATTTTAAAAATATATATGCAAATTGTTGATGGGTCAAGTAATAATTTCTAATGAAAATTGTTTAAATACTTAGAACTGATGATACAAAAAACAATACATGTCAACACTTGTGTGACACAACAAAAGCAGTATTTTAGAGGAACTCTATAGAATTAATGGATAGCAAGAAAACATAAAGACTGAAGATTCATAGACTAATGGTTCAAATGAAGTTATTTTCATTGAGGTTAAATTTACATAAATATTAAAATCATTTTAAAATGAACAATTCAATGGCAGTTAGTCATTCACAATATTGTGCAATTGCTACCTCTATCTAGTTCCAAAACAATTTATCAACCCAAAAAGAAATATCCTACTATCAAGCCCTCTACTCAGTCCCTGGAAACCGCAGATCTACTTTCTGTCTCAATGGACTTGATTATTCTGAACATTTCATATAAATGTAATCATAACGTATATGACCTTTTCTGTCTGGAAAATTAAATTATTTTTAAAAGAATAACATAGTAAACTCAGATAAACTAGAAGAAAGAATATCGTAAAGCTAAAGATTGAAATTGATAAAATTGAGATCAAAGTTATGCAAAGAACCACTAAAAATCTGGTAAAATGAACTGGGGAGGGGGACAGAGAGAGAAAATTAGAAATAATTACAAATGCAATCGAAATTAAAAATTTAAAACTACATCTATGAAAGATTGTGTTAAATAAAAAATACAAAAAGATGTTTAACCTCATTAGTGCTGAGAGAAGTAAAATTAAAATTACTGTTAGAAACTGTTCAATAAACAAAAGCTGACACCTGACTATTAGTGAGTGTGTAAATTGATCTAATCAATTTAGAAAGTGCTCTGGCATTATTTTAAAATTGGACATGTACATTTCTTACTATTCAGTTATTTTGTTACTAGAAATATATCAAAAATTTAATCTCACATTCATGTACTAAGTGAATTATGCAAAAATCTTCATAGGAACACTGCATGTAATGGAAAAAAAAATGGAAATAATCCCTGTGGTACAATCATACATGTAAGATTGTACACACCTATACAATTATACATATTGTGTTACAATCATACATACATTTACAGTATTAAAATGGTATTTAAGCACACTAGGAGATATTTTGAGTTTGATTCTAGACTACTGTATTAAAGTGAATGTCACAATGAAGTGAATACTACAATGAGGCAGGTCACAAAAATTTGTTGGTTTTCCAGTGTATATAAAAGTTATGTTTACACTACACTGTAATCTATTAAGTGTACAACAGCATTATGTCTAAAAAACGTGCAGTTGACTCTTGAACAACAAAGGTTTTAACTGTGAGTCCATTTATGTGTGGATCTTTTTCAACCAAATGTGGATCAAGAATACAATATTCATTGGATGCAAAAACCCATGTATGTGGAGGCTAACTTTTTATACATGCAGGTTAAGCAGGGCTGACTGTGGGACTTTATGCACGGATTTATGTATATATGTGGGAGTCCTAGTACCAATCCCCTGTGTATACCTAGAGATGCCTATAGATACCTTAATTTAAAAAAATTGCTAAAAATGTCAGTGATAATCTGAGCCTTCAGCAAGTTGTAATCTTTTTGCTGGTGGAGGGTCTTGCCATGATATTGATGGCTGCTGGTTGATCAGGGTAGTCATTGCTGAGGTTGGGGTGATGTGGCTGTTTCTTAAAATAAGACAACAATGAAGTTTTTTAACTCTTCCTTTCATGAAAGATTTCTCTGCAGCATGTGATGTTGTTTGATAGCATTTAACATGCAGTAGAACTTCTTTCAAAATTGGAGTCTATCCTCTCAATCACAGCCACTGCTTTATCAACTGTGTTTATAAAATATTCTAAATCCTTTGTTATCATTTTGAAATGTTCACAATATCTTCATCAGGAGTAGACTCCATCTCAACAAGCCACTTCCTTTGCTCATCCATGAGAAGCAAATCCTCATCTGCTCAGATTTGATCATGTGATTTTGGTGATTCAGTCACATCAAGATTCACTTCTAATTCTAGTAACCTTGCTATTTTCACATCTGCAGTTACTTCCTCCACTAAAGCCTTGAACCAAGTCATGTTATCTATGAGGGTGAAGATTAGCTTCTTCCAAACTGCTAACATTGATATTTTGACCTCCTCCCATAAATCATGAATGTTCTTAATGGTATACAGAATGGTGAATCCTTTCCATAAGGTTTTCAAGTTACTTTGTGCAGATCCATCAGAGGAATCATGATCTATGGTAGCTATAGCCTTATGAAATATATTTCTTAAATAATAATACTTGACAGTCAAAATTACTCCTCGATTTGTGGGCTGCAGAATGGATGTTGTGTTAGCAGACATGAAAACAACATTTATCTCCTTATACATGTCCATCAGAGCTCTCTGGTGAGCAGGCACATTGTTAAAGAACAGTAATACTTTGAAAGGCATCTTTTTCCCTGAGCAGTAGGTCTCAACAATGGGCTTTACATAGTCAGTAAACCATGCTGTAAACAAATGTACTGTCATTCAGTCTTTGTTTTTCCATTTATAGAAAACAGGTAGAGTAGATGTAGTGTAACTCTTAAGGACCCTATGATTTTCAGAATGGTAAATGAGCATGACTTCAATCGAGAGTCACCAGCTGCATTAGCTCCTACCCACACAGTCAGCCTGACCTTTGAAGCTTTGAAGCCAGCCATTGATTTCTCCCCTCCAGTTATAAAGTCCTAGTTGGCATATTTTCCCAATAGAAGACTATCTTGTCTTCATTGAAAAATCTGCTTTTTAGTGTAGGTGCCTTCATCAGTGATCACAGCTAGATCTTCTGAATAACTTGCTGCAGCTTCTACATCAGCACTTGCTTCACCTTGCATGTTTGTGTTATGAAGATAACTTCTTTCCTTGGCGAGGACTTCTTTCCTTAAACCTCATGAACCAACTTCTGCTAGCTTCAAAATTTTCTTCTGCAATTTCCTTACTTCTCCCAGCCTTCACAGGACTGAAGAGAATTAAGGTTTTGCTCTGAATTAGGCCTTGGTTTGGGAGAATATTGTGGCTGTTTTGATCTTTTAACAAGATTACTAAAACTTTCTCCATATCTGCAATAAGGCTGTTTTTCTTTCTTATCATTCATGTCTACAATGGAATAGCACTTTTATTTCCTTCAAGAACTTTTCCTTTGCATACACAACTTGGCAAAATCTTTACTATTTGGTGCAAGAAGTCTAGCTTTCAGACTGTCTTGGCATTCAACATGCCTTCTTTATGATGTTTAATTATTTCTAGATTTTGATTTAAAGGGAGAGATGTAACACTCCTTCTTTCACTTGAACACTTAGAGGCCATTGTAGGGTTATTAATTGGCTTAATTTGAATATTGTTGTGTCTCAGGGAATTGGAAGGCTGAAGAATGGGGACATGGGGAAACAGCCCGTCAAACAGCCAGTTGATGAAAGAGTCAGAACACAAACCACACTGATCAATTAAGTTTGCTGTTTCGCATGGGCATGATTTGTGGTTCCCCAAAAACAATTACCATAGTAACACCAAAGACCACTTATCATAAATCATCATAACAAATATAATAACAATAGTGTTTGAAATATTGTGAGAATTACCAATATATGACTCAGAGATACTACTTGAGCACATGTTGTTGGAAAAATGGTGTTGATTGATTTGGCTCAATGGAGAATTGCCATGAACATTCAATTGGTTTTAAAAAATGCAATATCTGTGAAGCACAATAAAGTGAGATGCAATAAAATGAGTTGTTCCTATATTGAAATGATTGCAGGAATGTATTCCTCAGTGAAAAGGCAAGTTGCAGAAGACTACATGCAGCATGCTAGCACACAAAATTAGATGCATTGTTTGGAGGTTTACACATCTGTGCTTCAAAGATGGCACAGAAATTTTCATTTTTCATTATTATTATTTTTGAGACAGGGTCTGGCTCTGTGTCACCCAGACTTGAGCGCAGTGGCACTGTCATGGTTCACTGCAACCTCCACCTCCCAGTCTCAAGCTATCTTCCCACCTTAGCCTCCCGAGTAGCTGGGAATACAGGCATGCACTACCACACCAAGCCAATTTTTTTGTTTTTATTTTTTGTAGAGATGGAGTTTTGACATGTTGTCCATGTTTCCCAGGCTGGTCTCAAACTCCTGGGCTCAAGTGATCCATGTACCGCAGCCTCCCAGAGTGTTGGGATGACGAGCGTGAGCCACCACAGTAGCACAGTGTGGTAATTTTCAGTACAGCATAGTGAACATCTCTGGGATTTGATTCAAGTGGAGGAGCAAAACAGAGGTTTAAAGGTTATAGGTAGTATTGTAGTTTATGAGCCCACAGCCTAACACAACCATATTTAATTTGCGGGCTCATGAATATTAATTTTATTATTACAATTTAGAACTTATGTAATTAGTATATATGTGGTTATGAGGTATCAAATTTTATGTATTAAAGTGAAAATATTTACAGAAATTCATGAAACTAATGGGACATATGCTCATCTGAAATACACAGGAAATATCCAGTGTCAATGAGAATATTAAGTGTCAGAAAAATAAATTATTGTTTTTTTTAAGAATTTGATTTTTTAAAATTCTAATATTTTCTTTCTCTACCCAAATGATTGTTTTGTATCCCCTCACTTTGGGTTCACCAGTTTCATAAGTGAGTAGGCCTAGCTGACCATCTAGCATCCAAGTCTCGGGACTGGTATCTTTTATTAGAGGATCATTTGTATTTTTAAAAATATCAATAGCCTGCTATATAGAAAGGAGTTGGTTAATGCATTTCTTCACTCAACAACTATTTATCAAATCTGTTGTGATTCAATCAGACATAATCCCTGACCTCAAGAAGCTTTCAGCCTAGTGGGGAAGGCAAGTGTGTAAGTATATACTAATATAATCCAGGTTGCTAAGCACTGTTTTGGAGATAGCCCCAGAATAGAATAAGTCTACTTATATCTTCACAATACTCTGGGAGGTCAAGAGTATACTAGTATTACCTCCATGTATAGATGAGAAAACTGAACGATCAAGGTCATCACATAAAGCCACAAAACTGTCAGATACCTGTGCTAACCTGAGAGCTCTGTTGTCTTGGTTTCTGGTCCAGCATGTCTTCCGCTGGGTTATGCTCACTACGTGAATTACTGAAATTGGGGAGTCGAGAGAATGTTCCACCCTTTCAAATGCTATATATTCTTTCCTTTTTATTTTTTTCATGTTTAAAAAATTCTTTATTAAGCAAAAAAAATTACATTGATAATAGGTGATGGATATATAATAATAAATAGGGAAAGAAAAGTCTGCTACTGTGTCTATGTATGAAATTTCCATAAGAAAGATTGTTAAAATATCATCTTAAGCATAGCTTCAGAATCTTTTCACAATTCAGCCACACTATCATTAAGAGTTTAGATATCATATTATATATTAAGATATTATTAGATATTTTTCTTGCGCCAACAGAAAGAAAAACAATGTTAGGCCATTTTATATCTAATTTTCAAGATGGTACAATGGGCCCTATCCACATTTTCCTCCACTGTCTTGTACACTCATCAGGGCAATATAATCAAATTTTCAGAAGCACTCAAGATAGGCAGAGTTTATAAAAAGAACTGTTAATCATCCTAAATAAATTGTAATCATTAATTAGCAAAGAATGATTATAGTAATGAAATTATCATAAAATTTAAAGAGCATGAAAGGCACTTCAAAAACATATTTTATAAATTAATTTGAAGCATTAAAGTATACTGATGATTTCCTATTAAGTTCTAAAGCTCTCTCAATTTGAATATAATCCTTTCTTATGAGCTACTGCTTTGCAGTCTGTATAAGAAAGATTTTCAGGAGAGAATATTTCACTGGAAGTGTTTTAGAATTGAAATTTCCAAACCATCAATCTCTTCTTCATTTTCTCCCATCATTTGTCTACATTCGTAAATCATGTTAAATGTTAAGCTTAGGTTATTATGATCTAATGTGAAATAAATCACCACTGAAATTATTTTCCCCCAAAATTCACAAGTTTTTAGTGAAACAAAGGCTATCTGATAAGGAAAAAGCCAAAACAATTTGTATTAAGTTGATTAGGATTTAAATAAAATATTAGGCTGCTTTGTTTCTTCCCATACACTTGTCAGGAAGGAAGTTAGCAGCTTAACTAAGGTGTCATTGAGGTAAATGAAGTAGTTGGAAAATTGGGACTCTCCCTTGGTTGTTTGTTAGTGGTTAGCCTGTTGTAGCTAGTTTTTTTCTCTTTGGTTGTTACTTATTCTTTCCCAGCCAAAGTATTAAATATGTGAGTTTCACCAAATTTACTATATTCAAAATTTTATTCTGAGACCAAATACATGAAGAAAACTCTCGGTGATCACAGTGTCAGATAGAGATAGATAGATAAATATATTTTTAGACATGGGTTTTTGCTCTGGTACTCAGACCAGAGTGCAGTGGTGTGAACAGGGCTCGCTGACGCCTTGACCTCTTGGGCCCAAGTGACCCTCCACCTCAGCCCCTCAAGTAGCTGAGAGCACAGGCATGCACCACCACACCCAGCTAATGTTTTTAATTATTATTTTTTGTAGAGACACCGTATCGTCGTGTTGTCCAGGCTGGTCTCAAACTCCTGAACTCAAACAATCCTCCTTCCTCAGCCTTCCAAAGTACTGGTGTGTCCGGAATTGGTGGGTTCTTGATCTCACTGACTTCAAGAATGAAGCCGCGGACCCTCGCGGTGAGTGTTACAGTTCTTAAAGGCGGCATGTCCGGAGTTTGTTCCTTCTGATGTTCGGATGTGTTCGGAGTTTCTTCCTTCTGGTGGGTTCGTGGTCTCACTGGCTCAGGAGTGAAGCTGCAGACCTCTGCGGTGAGTGTTACAGCTCTTAAGGCGGCATGTCTGGAGTTGTTCGTTCCTCCCGGTGGGTTCGTGGTCTTGCTGGCTTTAGGAGTGAAGCTGCAGACCTTCGAGGTGAGTGTTACAGCTCATAAAGGCAGTGTGGACCCAAAGAGTGAGCAGCAGCACGATTTATTGCAAAGAGTGAAAGAACAAAGCTTCCACAGTGTGGAAGGGGACCCGAGTGGGTTGCCACTGCTGGCTCAGGCAGCCTGCTTTTATTCTCTTATCTGGCCCCATCCACATCCTGCTGATTGGTACAGCCGAGTGGTCTGTTTTGACAGGGTGCTGATTGGTGCGTTTACAATCCCTGAGCTAGACACAAAGGTTCTCCACGTCTCCACCAGATTAGCTAGATACAGAGTGTCCACACAAAGGTTCTCCAAGTCCCCACCAGAGTAGCTAGATACAGAGTGTCAATTGGTGTATTCACAAACCCTGAGCTAGACACAGGGTGCTGATTGGTGTGTTTACAAACCTTGAGCTAGATAAAGAGTGCCGATTGGTGTATTTATAATCCCTGAGCTAGACACAAAGGTTCTCCACGTCCCCACCAGATTAGCTAGATACAGTGTCGACATGAAGGTTCTCCAAGTCCCCACCAGAGTAGCTAGATACAGAGTGTCGTCACGAAGGTTCTCCAAGTCCCCACCAGAGTAGCTAGATACACAGTGTCGATTGGTGCATTCACAAACCCTGAGCTAGACACAGGGTGCTGATTGGTGTGTTTACAAACCATGAGCTAGATACAGAGTGCTGATTGGTGTATTTACAATCCCTGAGCTAGAAATAAAGGGTTCTCCACGTCCCCACCAGACTCAGGAGCCCAGCTGGCTTCAGCCAGTGGATCTCGCACTGGGGCTGCAGGTGGAGCTGCCTGCCAGTCCCACGCCATGCACCCACACTCCTCAGCCCTTGAGTGGTCAATGGGACTGGGTGCCATGGAGCAGGGGGCCTCCACGTTGGGGAGGCACGGGTTGCACAGGAGCCCATGGAGGTGGGGGTAGGCTCAGGCATGGTGGGCTGCAGGTCCTGAGCCTTGCCCAATGGGAAGGCAGCTAAGGCCCGGGGAGAAGTGGAGCGCAGCACTGGTGGGCCAGCACTGCTGGGGGACCCAGCACACCCTCCGCAGCTGCTGGCCCGAGTGCTAAGCTCCTCGTTGCCTGAGGCCGACAGGGCCAGCCGGCCGCTCTGAGTGCGGGGCCTGCCGAGCCCACACCCACCTGGGACTCGCCCTGGCCCACAAGCACTGCACGCAGCCCCGGTTCCCGCTTGGGCTTCTCCCTCCACACCTCCCTGCAAGCTGACGGAGCCAGCTCCGGCCTCAGCCAGCCCAGGAAGGGGCTCCCACAGTGCAGCAGTGGGCTGAAGGGCTCCTCAAGCGAGGCCAGAGTGGGTGCCAAGGCCAAGGAGGCGCCGAAAGCGAGTCAGGGCTGTGAGGGCTGCCAGCATGCTGTCACCTCTCACTGGGGTTATAGCTGTGAGCCACTGTGTCGGGTCAGAAACCATTTTTTTTTTAAGCTGCTTTGTATTTAAGGTTGGGGAAGTCAATCCTCAGATAAGAAGCAACTAGTTGTAACATCCTATCAGTATTTGAGTGAAGAACTGGGATTAGAACCCAGGATATTCTTAAATAAGGACATTTTCTCCTTTATTTTATTCCCTTCACTGGCCCACTTTTTATTTACCATCGAGCAAATTTTCTTTAAAAGCCTGTGTTTGTAAAAGGAACAGGGTCTGCAAATATTTAATTTTTATTCTTCTCTCAAATCCTCCACACCTTTATTTTGATGTCATAAATATCCATTCCTTAACAGGTCTCTTGATAAGAAAAATGGGGAAATATTTGCTCAGCTAGACTGATCATCACCTATCATTAGGAAATTCACATGCATTGACACACTACACAGTAAACTTTCCTTTTTCTTTCTTCTACACCTCACCTCATCACACAGAAGCATACACAATGATTCACCATAACCAAAACCTTGTATGTCAACAACCAACCTATTCAAGCAACTAATGTCCTCCACCACAGTCTAAATATGCAAACTCTCTAAAGTTCCTTCAGGAAATAAGATGTATAAAGCAGAGACAACACAAAATATATATATAATCAGAATCCGATTATAAAACTGTACACATATGTTTATGTTAGATGTTTAAAGATCCACTGTGTGAAAGAACAACCTGGTTTAGGGGAGCAGAAACAGAGATGTCTTCTTCTGGGCCCCTTATTTAACCCGTGTATCTTTAATTTCCATCCCAAGATCCTAAAATCTCACAATAGTCTCACATTCTTTTAAAGTCCAACCACTGATTTTCTATGCTCATCTCTGCAGTGGACTAAATGTTTATTTCCTCCCAGAAATTATATATTGAAATCCTAACTGCCATGGTAATGATATTAGGAGGTGGAGTTTTGGGGAGGTGATTAAGTCATTAAGGCAGGGTCCTCATGAATGACTTTAGTGTTGTTATAAAAGAGGTCCAAGAAAGCACCTTCACCCCTTCCACCACTGGAGGACATAGACAGAGGGCATCATCTATGAACTAGAAAGTGGGCCTTCACCAGGCCCTAAATCTGCCAGCACCTTGATCTGGAACTCCTTAGCTTCTGAAATTGTGAGAAATAAACTTCTGTTGTTTATAAACTACCCAGTTTATGCTACTTTTTTTTATGGCATCCCAGACAGACTAGGCAATCTGATCAAACCTCTCTTGAGTAGCTCCTATTGTATACAAGCCTTATACTCTGTCAGGGATGTGGGGAACCTACCTAATATGGAAGGTTCTAAACTATAGACAATTATGCATCAAAGCTCACCACAAACTTTGGCATTCATGGCATAGTTTAAAGAAGTCATAATAAAAAATTTAGAAATAATATTTTACAGGGCATTTTATTTTTAAATCAAATCTACTCATCTCTTGACTTTATATTTTATTATTGGCTTAATTTTCAAGAAAGCTAAATAGTAGTCTTTGGTCCAGCAATCATTTTTTGTTATAATTTTATTCTGATTCTTTCCATTTCAAAGCTAATAATACATATTTCATAATGCACTACCCTTTTAAAATATTAGCATGCAGAAAAGGTACTTTACTATTTTAATTAATGTACCTGTCATATTCTGAATATTCTGATACACTTGCAAGGGGTGTGAAATATTAGGAACATAAATAAAAATATTCATTGTTGCATTTCATTAGTGCTCAGACAATGAATAGAAAAGGAAATTTCCATAAATTGATGTGTTAAAATTTAGGGTGATTTTTTAACTGAAGCCTGTAATTTTCTATCTTCAATATTCCTTTGATAAAATTATTTATTTATTTATTGATAATGACCAAATTGAAAAGTTGAGAACTACAGGAACTAGTAAGAAAGAATTGTGTGTGTGTGTGTGTGTGTGTGCATATATGTGAGTGTGTGTGTGTCTGTGTGTGCTTATATATCTGTGTGTATTTGGGATGACCTCTATCATATGAGAGGTTTTCTGTATGAAGTTATAGTAGAGATTATGGCATGGCTGGTACTCCAACCACTAGAGGCTCCCTGTGGAGCTGCTCCTTCTACCTGGAGCTGGGAAAATGAAAAGAAGTCCAGACTGGAGTCCTTGCTGCCTTATACTGCTGGGGAGATGCAGACTCCACCTCAAAGCAGGAAAGGCACTTTATTTTCCCTTCATCCACCTATGGTAGACACTAAGGGGAAACCAGTTGGCAAAGAAGCCTGGAGTCTCAATGCCAGAACTGCAAGACAGAGTATAGAAGGGTGATTTCAGATATGTGACATATCAGGGAAGTGGCTGGCTCAGAGATTCAAGATACAAGAAGAGACATGTAGAGGGATGGGTACTTCTCCACCGTTTGAGATTATTGAACTTGGAAACAACTTAAATGTTAAACAGGATGATGAAAAATAAAGAAAAACATGAGTAAATTTTAACATCATGTATTAAGTGGGTAAACATAAAAATATAAAGTTGAAAAAATGCTTATTGCTAAAGAATACATGCAATGCAGTTCACTTACATGATGTCACAAAAGAAAAATAACACCCTAGAGATGTTTATGGACAGGTCAATAACAAAGAATGGTGGTTGATTCTGGAAAATGTCAGAGTGAACACAATTTAGAAGAAATCCAGAAATGATTCTCCTGGGTTTTTAATGTGTTTGATTCTTTAAAAAAAGAAATTATGATGTATTGTATATTGTTGAATGGTAAGTTTATTATATTTTTCTTTATTACTTTGTGAATATTTGAGTTATTCCATGGTTTCTGAAAGACAAAAAGAACAAAATAGTCAAGCGTAGCTCAGTCTCACTGCTTTCCAGTGGTTATATTTTGGTCAGTCACTTGTCATTTCTAATGCTAAGTTCTCTTATTATAAATCTCCTACAGTGTCCTTGAAAGACAAGAGATAATGAGTGTAAACTGCCTGTCACTTGAAGGCCCTCAATAATCGTGACTCTTTCATTATAGTTAATAATATTTGCCCCATTTATAATACCCATTTGTTAAGTGAAAATGAGTAACATCAAGCAACTGAAAAATATATTTTTTCCACATTTTTCATACAAGACTTCTAATTCTTTCACTAATGAGTCAAAATTTGGTTATTTCAGTTTTATGGATTCGAAAATTGCGGCTCAGATAAATGAAACAACTTGTCAGGTTAATCTATTCTTGTCAGTACAAATATGGAAAACTTGATTATTTTGCCGGTAATACCATAGCTCTCATAAACTCAGAAGGCTAAGGAAAACTTATATTACATTAGCAGAAAAAAATCCAATTAAGGAGGCTGGAGCATACATCCCTCTTTGCCATGGACAGACTTATTTTATGCCTGTTGTTCTAGTGTTAGTAGTAGTGCCCTGTTTCACTCTTAAAAATATTACCATTTGAATGATAAATTACATGTTAATCCTACAGATTTAGTAGAGCAATAGAGGAGCTTTAGTTCATGCTGGGTGACATACTTACTGTATTTTGTCCTATTCTGATAGCATTATTTTAAGAAGGATCCTAGCAAAATAGAATCAATCTAAACAAAATTAAAGATCCAAAATCTTAGAAAAACTTTTTGAAAGATTCAGGCATCCTTGCAAGAGAGCACATTTTGGGGAATTGTGAAGCTATTTTTTGGGAAATTTTTAACAAAATATCAGGCAGGAAATTTAGACTTATTCTGTGTATCTTCCTAGAGCAAAATGAAGATCACAGATGGTTGCTTAGAAGACAAAAATTTTTCTCACTGTAAAGAAGAACTTAGACTAGTGAGAATACACAGATAATCATTTCTTCTTTCTGATGAGTCTCTTAGCTTTTCCAGGTATACTATCAAGGTACCTGCAAGTAGAAGTACTTTTACTAGTTTTACTTCCTTTCCAGTACAGATGTTCTCGTTGTTTTCTCTTGATTGATTGCATTGAATAAAATTTCTAATACAATATATAATAGAAGGTCACGGTACAATGTGTATGTAGTTCCAGTTACTCTGGAGGCTGAGGCAGGAGGATAGCTTGAGCCCAGTAGTTAGAGTCCAGCCTAGGCAGCATAGCAAGACTCCATCTCTTTTTTTAAAAAATCTAATAATAAAAGTGTTATCAGAGGTCCTTGTCTTGTTTCTGATTTTTGCAGAAATGTGATCAGTGTTTCACTATTATGTTATAACATTTATTACTTTTAAATCAAGAATGGATGTTGAATTTGTTGAATATGGTAGAAAAATCATAGTATATTCAACTTTAAAAAATATTTGAATGGATTTCTGAATATTTACAATCATAAAACTAGCCAGAAATGATCCTGGTGGATTATTTTGCAAAGTGATATCGTATGCTATTGGATTCTGTTTGCTCATATTATCTTTGGGATTTTTACATAGGCATTTATAACTTAGGTTGATCTTTAATTCTTTTCCTGTTTTATATTTAGAAATCTTTATTAGGTTTGACTATTGATGTTATAGTTAGTTACCAACAAAAGCCTTTTGAAAACTTTCTTATTTGGGTGAAAGAGTTTAAAGAGTACTTAGGATTATATGGTCATTGAAGAGTTCACAGAATTCCACTGTTGAAATGGGCCAGATGTTATAGAGGCATTTTTAGAATTTTCTCATTATTAGAAATTTATCAGATTTAGCATTTTTAGATTTTTGGAATTTCTCATTATTTTCCTATAGAAACTGGGCTGTTTATTTTTTTCCACATATCTACACATAGGTAAATTCCAGTAAACTATTAATTTTTAGAATATCATTTCATCATTTCTCAAATACATTTGAATAGATGCATGCAATATAGACTTTTAAATCTCCTGTTTCCATGATCATTTTATTTTTCTTTTTTATACTCAAACTTTTTTTATAGATTTTCATTTTTCTATAGTTGAACCTTTTTCATTTATTTTTGATTAGGTTAGCTATCTATTTGTTTATCTCAAGGATTCAAGGAAACAGTGCTGTAGTTTAATAATTATATGGTTTTCTGATTTCTAACTCATTTTCTACTTTTTATGTTTTTCTCTTTCTGCTTTCATTATGAATTTATAGTTTATTTTTATTTCTTCCTAAGTTATTTTGATGCCTTTAGAATTATGAACCTTTTTATATTACTGATTTAGTGTTTTAAATAAATCTTGATGTGTATTATCATTATCATTATTTTCTAGGAAGTCTTCAATTCTACAATGTCAGTGTTTTTTCCTTTGTTGACTCAAGTTAATTAATGTATGTGTGTGTGTGTATGTGTGTGTGTGTGTGTGTGCAATTTTTTTTTTTTTTTTTTTTTTTTTTTTGAGACAGACTCTCGCTTTGTCACCAGGCTGCAGTGCAGTGGCGCCATCTTGGCTCACTGCAGCCTCCGCCTCCCGGGTTCAAGTTATTCTCCTGCCTCAGCCTCCCAAGTAGCTGGGACTACAGGCACCCACCACCACACCCGGCTAATTTTTGTATTTTTAGTAGAGACGGGGTTTCACAATGTTGGCCAGGATGGTCTTGATCTCTTGACCTCGCTATCCACCCGCCTTGGTCTCCCAAAGTGCTGGGGTTACAGGCGTAAGCCACCGCACCCGGCCCTGTGTGTGCATTTTTAAGAGATAGGAGTTTTTTGTATCATTCTTTCGATATGATTTCTACAATTTTTAATTTATCTTTAATTTAATTTAACAAATGTCTAATTTTAAAAATATTAGTGTGGACTTGAAGAAAACTATGTTTTTTATCAATAACATGCAATGTTTCATATGTGTCCGTAATATTTATCCAACTGATTATATACATTAGGTCTTCTTAATCTTTTATTATTTTTGCCCAGGTGATATATCTTGGACTGAGAATTAAGAACTCCAATTATTAGTGCTATTCTGCAGATTGCCCTTTGGATATCTTGTAGTTTCCTGTAACAGTTCTTGTGTTTTTGTTCATAGCTATTGATAACTGTTAATATCTCAATTGTGCATTACGACCTTTAGCATTACAAAATCTCTTATTTTTCTTGCTAAAAGTCTTTGGACTGGACTGTAACTTGTTAGATAACAAAACCTTAACACTGTCTTTTTCTTTATAAAACACACACACACACACACATTTTATAAATTAAATGGCTTTAGCATTACAAAAGCTCTTATTTTTCAGTCTTTGGCCTAGACTGTAATTTGTTACACAGCAAAATCTTAACACTGCCTTTTTTTCCCTAAAAAAAAAAACCCATATTTTATAAATTAAATTATTGAGGTTTAATTAACTTACAGAAAAGCATTGATTTTAAGTTTATGTTGTGATGTTTTGACACATTTATACACTTGTTCACCACCACTACAAGCAACATGTAAAATACTTCTATCGTCCAAAAAAAGTTCACTTTCTATTTATTTATTTATATTTTGGGGGGATAGGTAAATGACTTTTACTAGAACATACAAAATGCATTTTAAGAATGATGTACATTCACAAGTGGCCATTGTTCTTCTCCAAACATCATTCAGCTGAGTGTTACTAGACTATCAAACCCAGAACATAGCAGAACAATGCTATGATCATTAATGTGTATGTCTTTGTGTATGTACTATATGAAATGTCTTCTTTGTGCTTTTCTAATCTATTTTTTTTGTAGCATCCTCAGTGATCTTGCATTTATTTATTGTTATTATTTTCATAGGTTATTGGGGGACAGGTGGTGTTTGGTTACATTAAAGTAAGATCTTTAATGACAATGTGTGAGATTTTGGTACACCCATCACCCAGGCAGTAAACATTGCTTCCTACTTGTAGTCTTTTTCCCCTCACCCCCTTCACAACCTTTCCCCTTGGGTCCTCAAAGTCCATTGTGTCATTCCTATGCCTTTGCTTGCATCCTCATAGTTTAGCTTCCACTTATGAATGAGAATGTGTTTTTTTTTCCCATTCCTGAGTTATTTCACTTAGAATAATAGTCTCCGATCTCATCCACGTCTCTGTGAATGCCATTAATTCATTTTTTTATGGCTGAGTAGTATTCAATTGTGTATATATATATATATATCAATTGTATATATATATATATATCAATTGTATATATATATATATATCAATTGCGTATATATATATATATATATATATATATATATATATATATGAACACCACAGTTTCTTTATCCATTTGTTGGCTCCACGTTTTTGCAATTGCGAATTGTGTTGCTATAAACACGCATATGCAAGTATCTTTTTCATATAATTACTTCTTTTCCTCTGGGTAGATACCCATTAGTGGTTGCTGGATCGAATCATAGTTCTACTTTAAGTTATTTAAGGAATCTCCACACTGTTTTCCATAGTGGTTGTACTAGTTTACATTCCCACCAGCAGTGTTGAAGTGTTCCCTGTTCATCGCAGCCACGCTAACATTTACTATTTTTTTTTTATTATGGCCATTCTTGCAGGAGTAAGATGATATCACACTGTGGTTTTGATTTGCATTTTCCTGATCATTAGTAATGTTGAGCATTTTTTCATAGGCGTATTGGCCATTTGTATATCTTCTCACCAATCTGCTTCCTTTCCCTATGGATTACTTTTCTCAATTTAAAAAATTTGTATAAAGGGAATCATAAGAAATGTTTTCTTTCAAGACTGCCTTTTTCACTAAATGTTATTGAGAATCATTAATAATTTTGCATGTGTTACTAGTAGTAATACGACTGCTAGTAGTATTTTTCTTACTAAATAGTATTTCATTGTTTAGAAACACCACAATTTGTTTATCCAGTTACCTGTGGACAGACATTTGGACTACTTCCTGGTTATAACTATTATGGATAAAGTTGCTATGATTGTTAATGTATATGTCTTTGTGTGTGTTTTCATTTTTCATGGTAAAAATTCAGAGTGACATTTCTGGGTTATTTAGTAAGTGCATATTTAAAATTTAAAAAAACTTCTAAACTGTCTTCCCAAATCACTGAAACATTTTTTATTTCTCCCACTGGAAGAACATTTTCATTTCTTCATGTTCGATTAACACCTGTTATTGTTAGACCTTAAAATTTTAGCCATTCTAAGAGGTGTGTAGTAGTTTCTCATTGTGGTTTTAATTTTCATTTTCCCAATGATCAATGACATCAAGCAGTATTTATAATGTGTATATTGACCATTAATATATCTTATTTAATGACTATCTGTTGAACTTGTTGCCCATGTTTTCTTGGGTTGCTTATCTTATAATTAATTTCTTCACATTCTGAATTAGATCTTTTAACATGTATCTATATGTTAAGAATATTTCCCCACCTTTGAGTTGCCTTTCCATTTTTATCAAAATTTCTTTTGAAAATAAAATATTTAAAATTTTGATGATGCTACTTAGTATGGCACCCTCTGCTTCTAGGTAGGTATAAGCTGTACTTAGTCTTGTTTGAAAAAGCATAAACTTGCCACATTTCCCTTTATTAAAAGTAAATTCTAACTGACTGTCTGCTCTGTTACAATCTCTGCAACCTACTCTGTTCCTTTTGGATTTTTATGTTCCCAGTTACATATGAATTAATTATCATAGTAAATTCATTTTCAGTTTTGCTGTAAGGATGGACTATTATTGGTAATTTACATTTTTAAATTTCTCTTATTTTGCATACATGTGCATTCACATGCACACACTGTAGATTTTAGAAATTAAGTTGTCTTCATTATTAGACCTTTCCTTCAAAATTTTAATTGCAACTAAAATTTCACCAGCGCATTGATGTTCACAGGGAAATAATCTCATTTGTTGGTACTATAATTCCGGAAAAGTAGACATGAGAGGATTTAATTATAGTTCTACTTTAAAAAATTTAAACAAAAAAGAGATTCAGCAATTTTAATCAACTTGTGACCAAACGAAAATGCAGGAAAAAAGCAAATTAATACTCTTCCCGTTCTACTATGTTGATTATTTGTAGCTATTTTGCCCTTGGAAAATTTCAACCTATCTTAATTGAACTAAGAGAACTATTAACATTATAAAAGAGGAGAAATAGTCTATGCTGGGGACTGAGTCAGAATTACCAAAGAGTCAAAGAAAGAGAATGAAGTATGTATGTGAGTGTGCATGTGTGTGTGTGTGTATGTGTGTGTGTGTGCCTGTGAGACAGAGATGGGGAGGGGGTAATTGTTGGGGGTCTGAGATGTTGAGAATGGGTGTTTTTTTGTGAGTCAGATTTCAAAGTCTCAACAATGTGGTCTAATTCATGAAATATATACACACTTTTACTTATAATCCAAATGCGTGTCATAACTTTAGTGACAGTGGTATAAATTATCAATGCACAAATTCTGTAAATATTCCTGTTATAGAGACATTATCCCAAGTAACACTTTGTTAAGGATTTTGTGTAACTTTTGTTTTCTGGAAGTCATTGAAAGGATAAGGAGGACTTTATAGGAGGTTTTTGAACATTAGATAAACATTTGTTCCTCAAGGTGTATTAATGAAGATTGTAAACACTAATGAGAGTGAGATTTTATGAAGGTAAGTGCAGGTTTTGTGGGCCCACACCTGTGTGTAATCCCAGCGCTTTGGAAGGCTGAGGCAGGAGGATCACCTTTGAGATCAGGAGTTAGACCAGCCTGGGCAATATAGTGAGACACTATCTGTAGAAATTTTTTTTTTTAATTAGCCAGGTGTTGTGTTGTGTGTCTGTAGTCATGACTACTCAGGAGGCTGAAGTGGGAGGATCCTTTGAGCCTAGTTCTTTGAAGCTGCACTTAACTATGACCATGCCACTGCACTCCAGCCTGGGCAACTAAGCAAAACTCTGACAAAAACAAACAAACAAAAAAAACAACAGGAAAAAACGGTGGTAAGAATCATAGCAAATAAATTCCATCTTTCTGAATCGACTCATCTGTTGGTGTATGGTAGCCTATCGCATAGGAATGTTTATATTCATGGGCACCTTAAATTCTGATGTTGATTTATAATTACAAATTCTAGTGAAATGGATTTCACACAGCTCAGCTGTGATATAGAGAAAAAAACAGATGTGACAAGTAGCTCTGTGAATTCACTTATTTTGTAATCATCTTGATCAACTAGATATTCTTGATGGCTCTAGTTCAGTGGTTATCAACCCTTTCTGCACATTATTATCCCCTGGGGAACAATTTTAAAATAGCAATGCCAGGAGATACTGGGGGTTGTCAGGAATAGTGCTCATGTCATTTCAGTTAGGTCTTTGGGTATGTGGATTGTACAGACAGGACTGAAACCACAGCTTGCTTTCTTTTACTTTTTTTTAAAGAGTGTGTTAAAGAGAAAAATAGCATCAAAAAAGTCTCGTTCATTTATTTCCCCCAAAAGTATGAGTTTATGTTTTAAGACTGCTGCTCAATTGCAACAGTGGTTCACTTGGGAAAACATGAGGTTTTAAATCAAAGATTTTGTGATGTAATAAAGGAGATTAGGTATGTTTCTACTTAATTCACAAATAGAAGGAAGAAAAGCTCTGTACAGCTGTGAAGAAACTGTGTCTAGAAAAGGAAAGGTACATTATGGGGAAGAAATAACTTTTCAGGATGTAAGGGGATATTATAAACGGTAAAAAGATATGAATACAAATGTTCTTATGATTGCTTTACACATTCTTGTATTAGATTATCCAAATTTCTTTTATAATGGAGTTTGTCTCATAAAATGAAATGTAGCCGTCTACTGAAGGAGTACTTCATAAAGGTTTTCTTTTGACCACCAAATTATGGAACCAACATAAACATACCTCAAGTATTTAGACTTTCCAGATATAATGATTTCCCACATTTCTTTTTACTGAATCGTTGCGTAGATAAGAGGGTAGAAAAAACACATTAATTCCTAGAGAATAGGCAAATACTACACATACATTGAATCTTGACTTGGCAATGTGATTCTGAAAAAAACACAAATCAAGATAGGGAGTAATGTTTTGGAAGCTAGTAAGCCCAGCATTAAGAAATCTTTTCCATGTGTAATCCATTGCCACCACAAGAAGCATGCATTGTAATTGTTTTCGGGTGCTACATGTACACTATCTTTATGGGTCAGGAATATTGCTATAAGTTATCTTTGTTCTGTGAATATTGTCATAAAGATGTTATGAGCCTTTGTTCACACTGGTTCTTTGTGATAATGTTTTTATTTATGTGTTTATATTATGTGTTTGAACCCCTTAAAGAACAAAGTGTGGTATTTAATGAAGTATAGGTAGTCTTCTCTTAGGTTGTATTTATACACTAAAAAAAGTATATTCCCCTATTAATTCACATGACAAGATGCCCAGATCAATATTGCTCAAAGAGTTTGTTGTCATAAAGATCATGCTACACAGTAGCTGGTTTTCTACTTATATACATAGTTGTTTTCTCTGGCTAACATAAAGAGAATGGATAAATTAGTAATTGTTTTGATTATTTGTCTTCTATTGTACAATGTACACATTTAGAGAAGCATAGAAAAGAATGTAAGCACACACGAATTTTCATATTTAGATCATGTATATTTAAATTTGTCTAAACTGATTATATGAAACAGCTGATTCTCTTTATGCTTTGTACTGAGGAGATGCACCTTTAGAGAAAACAATAAATCATTTTATCTTCTGAATGTTTGAAGTCAAATTGAGACTGCATCCTGGAAATAGCTAAGATCAGATTACCTCTTGGCAGAATCCAATGCACGTTAGAAAAGCAGAACCCATTTTGCTGATACAGGTTTTAGTAGAGGAATGAAATATAAATAAATTTTAGCTTAGGCTACTACAAAAAAAGATCAAATAATCAGAGGCAATAGCACTTTTTTCCTCCCAGGTTCCCTGTGGATTTTCTTTGTGATGAAGTCGGGGTACTTAGGAAGTACATGCACAGAACTAAAATGAGCTGTGGCAACCTTGTCAGACTGCATTTTACAGCCTCCTTTGTAGTCTGCTATATGAGTTGCCCTGGCCAAATATAGTTTTCTTAGGCTTCATCTAAGAGAATTAAAGAAAGGTGACCTCATTCAGCCAAAAATACTGCCTAGAAGTGAATTTTCCCTTTACATCAGCCTATTTGCAAACTATAGAAAACTCTATTCAGAAAGAGTTGTGCAGGGACGATTCAATCTAAACATGGCTTTCTTGAATTTGAACACTTGGAATCTTTTTGACAACAGAAGTTTGAGAAACTTTTTAAAATGCAACACTTTTTTTAAAGAATGGTTCAGAGAAATGCTAAAATTACTATTTCTATTAAAGAAGTGGTCTTAGCAGAATGTTTTATTTTTTTAATTTGTTAAAATCCTGTTCATGTGTTTTAAGCAAAAAAGTTCAAACAAGAACACTCAGTATCTTCACTTATTCATAAAATGTTTAAATAGTACAAACACAAATTATCTTATAAATGCTATATTTTGATAATATCATAAGAATGTTCTTTACCCCTGAGTTTATTTTTGTAAACTAGAACATAGTACATGCGCAAACTAGGAATAACAGCACCTACCTCAAAGGGTGATTGTGACCATTTGATAAGCTGGGTCATGTGAAGCACTTAGAAGAGTGCCCAGCACAGAATAAGGGCTCAGTCAATATTGGCAATAATTATTCTTTTCTTAAAAGGATCATTAGAAGTCCTCACATTCATGGGTAAGGATGGTAAAGTACAACAGTAGTTGTCCCCAAACCACTAACAGTGTGCAAGCCACAGATAAGAGGATTGGCCCCACACAGGAGTCAAATTACATTCTACCAACAATTTTGCCTGGACTCTCTTTATTTTTTCATCAGGATTACTGCTTAAAAAGCATAAAACAAATTATTAATGTCAAATTAATGTTCTATTCATTATACTTCAAGTGAAGGTGTTCTTCCTGTTGACATAAGCATTTTTATAATCAGATCACAAAATACACAAAAATGATGTGAAAGGAAGTAAAAAAGAATTTAAATGATGAGGGGGAAAAAGGGCCATCATCTTCCTCTTGGAGAAGGCTGAAAGCAGATATTCACTCAGGAACTATTTAAAAGAGACCGTGATTGAAGGCACTATAAATTCAACTGAGAGTGGCTGGGGCTGCACCAACACTGAATACCGGAGTGGGGTGTGTGCCTATGCCATTTTAAATAAAATATATCTTTATGAAAAAAAATCACCACATGTTTTTTTCAAGCCCTGAAATTGGGTGACAAAATAATGATTTTGTGTTTTACTGGGCTCCAGAGGCTGTCTGAGAGATATTAGTTGAACATAAGAAGTTTAGAATTTTTCGACCCTTTGACACTTGATGTCTAAGACAGAAAGTGGGGGAATGGATAAAATTTAGGGAATCTGGGTTGCCCTGGACAATGATCCAATTACTGGTACTTCAATGCAATGGAAACAGTATTGTGGGTTAGCTAGAGATCAATCTAGTCTCAATGAACTGTTATTATTTCTGGTAATGTTATGGCTATGGGCTTGAATCATATATGGCTTCCTCAGTTTTCTCAATTTCAAATTACAAGTGATATAATTTCAAGAGTTCTATGCTGGAATACTTGCTTTATGCACTAATAGCTAATACTTCACAGGTACTTTTTCCTGTATGCTCCCTGGAAGTGGTTTACGTAATATGGCTCATTACAAGGAAATATGTTTCTTCCTTGACCTAGTTTAAAAAATTCTGTCGTGGGTTTTGATTAAATTTGTATTCCATATCTGACAATGGTGGTTAAATTCCTAAATATATCAACCGATATCCTTGTAACACTTACAGCTTTAGAGGAACCCATAAACAGACTGGGTTAGAAAATTAACTGAAAAGGATGCCTAGTTGATCGGATTAAGCAAACTGCAAAATACTGACTAGCTATGGTTTATTAATTTATGATTGAATTCCTTTTAGGGGCCTAGATATGTGCCACCCTTCTTGAGTAATTCAAATTAATGATTAATGGTTTACACAGTATTATTAGTTACAAATGACGGAAACTAAGACAAAGACATTTAGTATAAGTATTCTTGAGTAGGTTATATAATTTACCTAAATGTGGTTTGGGAGGTACTTAAGGGAGGAAAGGTACAGCCAAGAGCCTAAGGCTTATGATGTCACTACCAGAATTGCTACCAGGGTTTGGAATCTGTAACCCCTGAACACTTGCTGCAGGGCTCCAACCTTGATTCTACTATCACGCTTGAAAATCATCTCTATTTGACCCTCTGCATCTCTGTTCACTCTCTCTTTTTTTTTCTTTTTTCTGTTATTTATTTATTTATTTTTTATTATTATACTTTAAGTTTTAGGGTACATGTGCACATTGTGCAGGTTAGTTACGTACGTATACATGTGCCATGCTGGTGTGCTGCACCCACTAACTCGTCATCTAGCATTAGGTATATCTCCCAATGCTATCCCTCCCCCCTCCCCCCACCCCACAGCAGTCCCCAGAGTGTGATGTTCCTCTTCCTGTGTCCATGTGATCTCATTGTTCAATTCCCACCTATGAGTGAGAATATGCGGTGTTTGGTTTTTTGTTCTTGCGATAGTTTACTGAGAATGATGGTTTCCAATTTCATCCATGTCCCTACAAAGGACATGAACTCATCATTTGTTATGGCTGCATAGTATTCCATGGTGTATATGTGCCACATTTTCTTAATCCAGTCTATCATTGTTGGACATTTGGGTTGGTTCCAAGTCTTTGCTATTGTGAATAATGCCGCAATAAACATACGTGTGCATGTGTCTTTATAGCAGCATGGTTTATAGTCCTTTGGGTATATACCCAGTAATGGGATGGCTGGGTCAAATGGTATTTCTAGAACAGGCAACCTACAAAATGGGAGAAAATTTTCGCAACCTACTGATCTGACAAAGGGCTAATATCCAGAATCTACAATGAACTCAAACAAATTTACAAGAAAAAAACAAACAACCCCATCAAAAAGTGGGCGAAGGACATGAACAGACACTTCTCAAAAGAAGACATTTATGCACCCAAAAAACACATGAAAAAATGCTCACCATCACTGGCCATCAGAGAAATGCAAATCAAAACCACAATGAGATACCATCTCACACCAGTTAGAATGGCAATCATTAAAAAGTCAGGAAACAACAGGTGCTGGAGAGGATGTGGAGAAATAGGAACACTTTTACACTGTTGGTGGGACTGTAAACTAGTTCAACCATTGTGGAAGTCAGTGTGGCGATTCCTCAGGGATCTGTTCACTCTCTCAAGACTTAACTCTGGTCCATTCACCTGCCCACTCCTTTAGGCAACTATTTTATATGATCTCATGTTTCCTGGAGTATCCAATATGCCCTGGTTCCAATTTTCAGCTGATAATCTGACCTGAAATTTCACTAGCTTAAAAAAATTTTTTTTAAGTAAACAGCAAAACAGTAGTGGAAGCAAGCAGAAGAGAAATTAGATGTGCTCACATTACTAAATCTACTCATGTAATTGCATTGGAAACTGTATATTCTTTTCCATTTTCATGGATGGATTATTTGTTCTTCTGTTTACAGCAAACTCTTCCGAGTGACCACTGGATCCCACAAATTTCCCTCCAGGACTTTGATCCTGAAATTATCCCCTATCTTTTTTCATTGTCACTTTTTTCTCTGTATCGGATAGCTTGCACTGTTGTATAAATATGCTTTAATATCTTGCTACTCCATTTTCATGCCCATTTTTACAAAGTCCTGAAAACCTGTCTATATTTCCTATACCTACCTCATCTTCTGTCTTCTTTTGAATCAAGTCCAGTGAAGCTCATCTCTCCATCATGCCATTAAACTATTCTTTTCATATTTCCTAATTATCTATGTATTATCTAATCCAATCACCAAGAGCATGTCCTAATTTTATTCAACTTGTCCACAGGATTTGGCAAAGTCTAGAAGTTTTTGACTCATTTTCTTTATTTGACTTTGCTTTTTCTCCTCCTCCCTGGCCAACCTCTGTCTCTTTCTCTCCATTCTTCTTACCTTGCCAACTTCTAAATATTGTAATGCATCAATACATATTCCTTGGATATCCTGTTTTTTTCTACCTACAGTCACATTCCAGCAGATCTTATCTGGTCTCATAGTTTTCAATGTTCTGACTTATGACCTTCATCTACTTCTTATCTCTAGCCTTACACTCCTGCTCTTCCCCACCTTTTTGTTTTAGTAATGTCTAGTCCATTCGACCACTGGCTGAAGCTAAAACCTTTTCCATTTCTTTTTTCACGTGTGTCTTCAATTCACACTCCAAACTCAAACCATCAAGGAAAAAATATTGTAACTACCTTCAAAGTATGTCTAAAATTTTATCATCCCTAACCCGCCTACATGACTACCACCTCTGACCAAGTCACCTTCATTTCATAACCTGGAAGTTTTATCAAGCCTTCTAAAATGATCCCCTTGCTTCCAGGCTGCCCCAATATAGAATGTACTCCACACAGAATTATAAGAGATCTGTGTAAACTCTTAAGTCAGATCATGCTACTTCCCATGAGCTTTTCTCAGCTCTTACGAGTCACATGATCTTAGAGTTTACAAAGATCTCTCATATTTCTGTGTGTAAATTCTATATATTCTTATGAGAAAAACAATACCTGACATATACAAGAGACACTCCTTTGTGTCTTTTTCTTTGTTGCTGCATTTTCTGCATCAGCCCCTGGAACAGTGAATAGATAAATATTTATTAAATGAGTAGCAGGACTGGGCAGCCAAATCAATACATGCATTAAACATTCTTTCTTTTGAATTGTTTTCAACTAAACAATTTTTTTAAAAAGCTGGAAACTCAGAACAAGGGTCAAGTAATCAAGTAGAAAGGCATTTAAGTTGAATGTCAAACTGAGGCTATGTAATATTTTCAATCTGCACTCTACAAGCAATAGAGATTGTTTCCATATCACATTGAGAATCTAGTTATCTGCTTTAATATTACGCTCTGAGAACTTGCTGAACCATGAGTACAGTTGCATTCATGTTGCAGAAGCAAGTATTTTATTGTAATGTTATATGGTTCAATGGTTAGCTCCCAAAATACATTTGCTCTTCAGGTTTGTTTGTTTATCTTTTGACAACACTGAAGCATTTTTTTAAATATATAGAATTCTAAAATAAAAGAAGATAAAGCATTATGAAGAAGAAAAATCTTTAATAGAGCTATTAATCGCACATATTGAAATCCCACATTACTGATGGCACTGTGTTATAGAGTTTAGATGGCTGCTGGAAGATTACTTGAGTAAATAATTTTTTTCTTTTTTTAAAAATTTCTTTTATATATATATTATTATACTTTCAGTTCTAGGGTACATGTGCACAACATACAGGTTTGTTATATATGTATATTACCTAGAAGTTCAGTACTTGTGCTAAATACTGAAAGGGACTTTAAAATGAATATTATAATTCGTAGATTCTGGATATTAGCCTTTGTGTCAGATGGATGGATTGCAAAAATTTTCTCCCATTCTGTAGGTTGCCTGTTCACTCTGATGATAGTTTTTTTTTTTTTTTGCTGTTCAGAAGCTCTTTAATCTACAAAGAACTTAAACCAATTTAAAAGAAACAAACAACCCCATCAAAAAGTGGGTGAAGGATATGAACAGACACTTCTCATAAGAAGACATTTATGTGGCCAACAAACATATGAACAAAAGCTCATCATCACTAGTCATTAGAGAAATGGAAATCAAAACCACAATGAGATACCATCTCACAGGAGTTAGAATGGCAATCATTAAAAAGTCAGGAAACAGCAGGTGCTGGAGAGGATGTGGAGGAATAGGAATGCTTTTACACTGTTAGTGGGAGTGTAAATTAGTTCAACCATTGTGGAAGACAGTGTGGCGATTCCTCAAGGATCTAGAACCAGAAATACCATTTAACCCAGCAATCCCATTACTGAGTATATACATGAAGGATTATAAATAATTCTACTATAAGGACACATGCACATGTGTGTTTACTGCAGCACTTTTCACAATAACAAAGACTTGGACCCAACCCAAAGGCCCATCAGTGATAGACTGGATAAAGAAAATGTGGCACAGATACACCATGGAATACTCTTCAGACATAAAAAAGGATGAGTTCATGTCCTTTGCAGGGACATGGATGAAGTTGGAAACCATCATTCTCAGCAAACTAACACAGGAACAGAAAACCACACCCCGCATGTTCTCACACATAAATGGGAGCTGAACAATGAGAACACAAGGACACAGGGAGGGGAACATCGCACATGGGGGCCTGTCAGGGGGTGGGGGGCTAGGGGAGTGATAGCATTAGGAGAAATACCTAATGTAAATGATGGTTGATGGGTGCAGCAAACCGCCATGGCAGGTGTATACCTATGTAATAAACCTGCACATTCTGCACATGTATCCTAGAGCTTAAAGTATAATAATAATGAAGATGAATATTATAATTCAATAAGCACTTCTGGGGAACTACAAAGATCCAGGCATATGCTAAATTCTAAGGTAATTTAAAAGTGAATTAGAAACAAAACATATTTCTTGACTTTGTGTAACTTATACATAGAACAAGACAGTGTATGTTCTTAAGGAGTTTATACATTAGTGAGAGACAGATATCTACATGAGCTTCAGTTTAATATTTAGTGTGATGAGAACAACAATATTTAAAAGGCTAGCCTGGTGCTGTGACTCACACCAGTAATCCCAGCACTTTGGGAGGCTGAGGACGGAGGATCACTTGATCCCAAGAGTTCGAGACCAGCCTGGGAAACACAGCAAAAGTCTCTCTCTCTGTATGTGTGTGTGTGTGTGTGTGTGTATATATATATATATATATATATATATTTATATATATTTATATATGTATGTATATATCTCTATGTATGTGTGCGTGTGTATGTATATATGTATATATATATCTCCAGGTGTGGTGGCCTGCGCCTGTGGTCCCAGCTACACAGGAGGCTGAGGTGCGAGAATCATTTGAGCCCAAGAGGTAGTAGCTGCAGTGGAGCATGATCATGCCACTGCACTCCAGTCTAGTGACAGAGTGAGACCCAGTCTGAAAAAAAAATAAAAAAAAAAGTTAAAAGATTAAGAGATCCAGAGGGGAGTGCTGTGAATTCTGACCATATGACCATGGAACTAGGATACCAGGGAGCACTTCATGGGAGAAATGTCATTTATGTTTATTTTTGTAAAGCATATGTAAAAATTTGACAGGTGAAGATAGAGAAAGTAAAAATTGAGTATAAACAAGAAAAGGAAAGGGAAATTTCTAAAATGGTATCTTTTAGGGGCATTAAAGCTTACAGAAGTTAGGGCAAAGAACATATCATAATGGAAGAAGCTTTTTATCAATAATACCCAGTTTACTTAATTTGTATTAAGTATATATACATATGTTTGTGATATATATGTACATATGCACACAACCACACAATTCTGAGTTAGCTTATCAAGAAATACAAGATTTGCATAATTTTGCTTTATCATTGAGCTAGGTTAATATTGCCTTAGTAGTCAGAGAAGCATGATGCAACGAGGTGGAGGAGTTCATTGTATTACCACAAAAGGAGGAAGTACAGCCAGCTTAATCTTTAATACTGTATGCTGACTAAAGTTTTCAAAATTATTATTATTACTGTACAGAAAGTCAAATTCTTGTTTTCAATGTTATTAGCATATTTTATAAATTTAATTGAAAACAATTCAGATTTGGGGGAAAATGTATGTTTTTTATGTACTATTATTTTACATATTTACTTAATAATTTATTATCTACTAGTGTAAGACATCCAGTCCTATAAAATAAGTGTTATGCTTAAAATTGAGTCCTAAAAAGCTTCTAGAATGACTAAATTAATCAGTTAATTGATAAATATAACCAATGAGTAGTCAAGACAATGAATATTAAATACCAATGGCATGGCATATGTTACCCATTATTTTGGAGTAAAAATGTCACATTCAAATCTGGCAAATGTGTAAAAATACATATTTTCACAAGTAATATATAAGAGTATGAAACATTACAGAAATTTTTGGAAGTATTTTGAGAGTATCTATTAAAAGTTCTGATAAACATAATGTTTGACACATTGTAAGAATATATCCTGAGATAATAAGAGATTTTTGGTATAAAGTATTATGAAATATTTCATACTTATACAAAAGAATACATTAGATAATTCTGGTTTAAGAATTTACAGTTTTAATTTTGTTTTTCAACACATAAATAATTCAAAATAAATTAATTTTTCCATAAGTCAGCTTGTCCCTCTATTACTTCATTTTCTTCTATTGTTTTTTTTTTAAACTGCTTTGATTCATAGTGCTTTTCTATGGAAAGAAATGGATTCAAAGTGACTTAGAAATTAAACCTTCAAAGATAAATTTATATATATTTTCTCACATATGTACATGAAGAAAAGGGGCACAAATTATCAGAAAATGTTTTGAATCTTTGACAAAATTAAAACCAAAAACTCTGGTACTAATAGAAAGCTCCTATTCAAAACTCTTGGCTCATTTTTCTCTCAACTCATTTCCTGCTGAACAAGTTATTTTCCTTGCCAATGGAGTTCTTGATTCAGTGCCATTTCTTTTTAATGGATTGGTTTTCTTTGTTAGGTTTATTAGGCAGCACTCAGTATTCACCCAAGATGAGTACTGATAGGTAATAGATCTTAACTTAGTAAAGCTAATTGACAGGAGTCCTGATTATAATTGCAAAGTTGTTATTAGAACAAATGACAAAACAACAAGCTACTCTTGTTTAATTAATTTTTACTTAGCAGCTTTAAAGGTAAATTTGTTAATATTCAAAAGAGTGGAAGGCCAAGCCGTCTGCTCCCATCTACTATCCTGTTACTTACTATGAATAATATTTATGCATTTGAATGCTGCCAAGACAATTCAAAGTCAAGAAGCTTCTACTTATAAACACATTTTTGTTCTCTCTTGCAGGTATGGTATCTCTTATCTATAGTTACGAATGAAAACTCTTAACTATTTCATTCTCTAATACAATTTTGAATTTACCTGCATCCTTTTCCTGGTTGTTTCCTCTTCAAAATTCTTGTTTTTTCTGTTATAATATTATTCATACTGATGATAGTACTGTTACTAAATTATATTTATCTTTTGATAATACATAACATTTTTTGAGACATGTAAAAGAATGACAATTTTTATTGATCTTAAATCAAGGTATAACTAAGTTAATTTGATTGAAAAGTTAAGTGACTTCTTTAAATTATGGACATGAACTAGTTACATTTCAGAAAGTTCTCCCAGGCTGTAAAACTATTTCTTAGTGGAACTAATGCTTAATATCAAATGCATAATATCAAATGATATTATGTTTACTTGCATGCATAGTTTTAGGTTTTCATTATCCTGTATCTGCAAGGCAGGCAGGCACAGTGTCTGCCAACAGTAGTTTGTTGAAAAAGTAAATAAATAAAAAATAAAAAGAAGACTGTAGCTATATACTAACTTAAGCTTTACTCCAAAACACTGTTGGTGTTTCTGCCTCCCATTTCTAAATGTTACATGATTTCAGGCCTTTCCTCATTTAACATCTTACGGAAATAATGAGAGAAACAAATGAGAAAGTGAGGGGGCTAAATCCATGCTTACTTATCTATGATTTCACTGTTCTTCCCAGCACTTCCTGGCTTAAAAGGGAAAAGCTCTTTCCACTTATAAAACTGTTTTGGATTCCTTCTTCTTCATATCTTCCCAACTGAAGAAACTGAATTATTAATAGAATGAGGGTGTTATTTCGATGTTGATAATAAACTTCTCCTTAGAACGATAGTCACTCCACTTCCTTACTTTTTATCTCCTAACCTGTAATAATCAGAGAGTTGTCTTCACAAACACATTCAAATTTTTTTTGAAGACTTCCGTCTTGATAAATCTGTTGATTGTATTTGACCCTCATGTTGCCCAATAGTAAAGTCTGTGCCCAAATGTCACCTTTTCAGAGAGGGCTTCATTAACAATTCCACCTAAAGAAGATTCCCCACTCCTCACCCACTTCATCTTATCACTTTGCTTTATTTTCTGCACAATATTTCTTACTATTTGACTTCTTCCTTCCTTCCTTCCTTGCTTGTTTCTTATATAGGCCTGTAAATATTCAGGAACAATATTAAAAAATTA